>NC_000014.9:76581409-76732925 GCF_000001405.40 Homo sapiens
CATATAAACTATTCTACATGACCCTTATACAGTTTGAGGACATTAAGGCTCAGAGAGATTACGTGATTTGTTCAAGTTCACACAGCTACTAAGCATTTTTGGTTATGTTTGATATCAGTTTGCCAAGGGTCATTATTTTTTTAGCTCCATGTTTTCCTTTTATTAGTAAGAAGATGTGAAGGCTGATTGGGCAGTTTATTCTTTGAAGATGTACTAGTTGGGGGTAGGATGGTGGGAACTCCTACCCAGGTTTCAAATTCTAGAGAGCTGGCTGAAGAGCAGCAGTGTGGTGCAGGTGCAGGACTGGGCTTCACAGGGAAGGCCCTTGGAAATGTGGATAGGCCTCATCTCTCTCTTGGCACCTGGCAGAGAGAATGAGTCAGTCCTCTCTTGGGAAGATGGTGGCTGCCTCCAGGCGTTCAGCTACAGGCACCTGGCTTCAAAAGGCTCATTTATAAGGGTGATGCTGACATGGTCAAGGCTAAAGGAATACAGAGTTGAGGAAGGCTCTGCAGAAAGAAGGGATGAGAGCTATTTCCTAGAGTGGTAGGGACAAGGGAAGCCTACCACTATGGGCCCAAATTCAAGACAGTGAGTGTTAAATGTGCCCACCATGTTAGGAATGAGAAGGATGACTAGAACCCTCTATATATTAATGGCTCTCAGTGGAAGTTTCTTCCCTCTGAGAAGGGGGACAGGGAGGTGGGCAATTTCAGTGATTGTGTTTCCCCACAGCATTTAGTGGGCGTGTCCAGGGAGGATGGCAAACACACAGGATAATCCTACATGACAAAGGTTCTTTCATGTCTCTTGTGAATTTTGGAAGGCAGCTATGCTCACCACTATACCACCAATGCTCATGTGAATTTTGGATGTTCACTGGACATTAATATGTATGACAAACTTGACCTGAGGGATCTGAGTCTGGCTTAACACTTTTTTTACATAAAAATACAAAGCAGTTTTTTGTAGAGTTTTAATATCACCAAATTTTCCAGCAATTCAACTCTTGTAAATCAAGGTAAAACTGAACTTTGTTTTGTTCATGACCTTGCCAAGAATTGTTCACTATTTCAGAAAATGAAATCACAATGGAAACACTATTCATCGTATTTGGCTGCTCATTTGGCAGTATATATTAGTCTGCATTTGTAGCTAAGAAATCCACTTATAAATTATGAAATAATTATAGACTCACAAGAAGCTGCAAAAGTAGTACAGGGAGGTACCATGTACTCATAACCCAGCTTCCCCCAGTGGAAGTATCTTATATACCTATAGCTCATTATCAAAATCAGGAAATTGATTGGTGCAGTGCAATTAACTAGACTATAGACCTCACTCAGATTTCACCAACAGACTCCTCCTTTATGCCTTCTAGTGCCATCATACCTGATCATTTATAGGTTAAAATACAAATTGTTTTGTTAGAAATTACTTTTTTAGTGTTACACTTAAAGTCATATTGTTTTTTAAGTAAATTACTCTTATTTTATTTTTCTTCATATTGTATTTAGAATCTGTAGTATTATTTTTAAATTATGCATTTACTCAGGTTATATTATTATGGATTTTATTTTAGAGTGGAAAAGGAAGCACTAAAATATCTGTTTGGAGGGTGATAATCATGATGAATCCCAAACATTTAGATGGGGTAATAGTTGTTAATAGATAATAATAACTGACTTGGTCTAAAGACTTACCATGTGCTAGACCCTTAACATGCATTATTCCACTCTATTTGCACAACATCCTATGAGGTGGTTATAATAATCTCTATTTTGCAGTTGAGGAAATTGAGGTTCAGGCAGGTTATGTGCTTTGCCCAAGATCCCACAGCAAGCAAATGGTAGAGCCAAGTGCCCCGAGTCTGTAACATCAATCACAAGGCTGGATGTTTGCAAAGCACTGTCATTACATCATCTAATAATGCTGCCATTGATACAGTAGTCATCACTTACACTAATTTAATTCCTACTCTGTGTCAGATAGAGGGCTCTGTGCACTACATATTTAACTTCTCAATAGCCCTATGAAGAATCAATTTTTTTTATCCTCCTCCTAAAATCAAGACCCTGAGAATAGAGAGGGTAGGTAATTTGCCCAAAGTTCCACAGCAAGAACATGGCAGAGTCAGGATTCCAACCAGGTGGTCCTGCTCCAAAGCCCAGGTACTCCAACCACACGACATGCTGCCCCATTGGCTTTCAGCTGTTTCAAATTGTTTCCACCGTAATCTCATAAGGTCTGCCCTTAACCCAGGCAAGGGAGCCTCTGCCCTGGATCTCCACTGTCCCTCTTCTATAGCAGAGCTCCTCCCTGTGGCACAAGGATTCCCGGAACCAAGCCTGTGTTCTTCTGTAGACCCTATTCCACATCCTCAGAATTCCCTGTATACTTGGCCCTAAGTGGCTTCCAGAATTTATGTGGGCCTCCTTCCTGGCCCTTCCCTTGGGAGGTGGGTCAAGCTCATCCCAGGCCTGATGGGTGGCCCAGAGGCAGCTGTTTGGGAGAGGGAGCCAAAGTGTAGGGTGAGAGCTAGGTGTCCTGTTGGGAGGGATGTGGGAGAGCTGCGGGTTGAGGGCCCCTGGACACTCTCGTTCCAGGCCACACATGAGGGCAGGGCCTAGGCCTTGTCCTCCAGTTGTGTCCTGATTATCGGTGCTGTCTCCATCCTTGGATCTTACGTCCCCGGTTGATGAGCACTTTGACTTAAACTCCTCCTGGCTGCTGCCACCCAGGCCTAGCAAAGTGCCGTGCCCTCTGTAAGTGCATCCAGCCAACATCAAGCCTCTGGCTCCTGTTGGTTTAGCTTTGAGCTTCAATCCCAGTTATTAACAGGGTGGAAGGAAAGTGGATCCCTGATTGGCCAAAGGCCCCAGTCCCAGTGGTTGGGCCACCAGGCAGACACCAACTGAGGTCAGCCCCTCATCCCTCCCTGGGGCCCTGGCCACTGGCCCAGCAGGCAGGAGGGGAGGCCAGGGAGCAGCTTGTCAGGATGTATGAACAATGCCGGGTGGCACCGGAGGGGCCCTCAGAAAGATGATCTCACAGTTCGAACTCGTTAATGAAAGAAATAAATTAAGCAAGCTCATTTTTCAGGGAATTCTTGTGTAAACTGGAAATTTTCCAGTTCGTGAGCCCTGTGCCAGGCCCTCCCATAAATCACAGCAAGTAGGCTGTCGGCTCAGCAGAGGGGGAAGAGGTGGAGGGGAGTGCGGCAAAACAGAGGGGAAGCCAGTGGCTGGCCAGGGTGGCGGGTGGGAAGCACCCACGTTCTCCTGGTGCATTCTCACTCCAGGTATCACTGGGAAGAGGAAAGGGAAATGAAAGGGCAGCAGGACCAGAGGGCTTCTGCCTGCAAACAGGCCCCTGCACGCCTGCAAACACCCCAGCCCCCATGCTCCCAACCTGGGAGAAGCCCCCGAAACAGGTCATTTTTTAATTGAATACAATATTAATTACTGCGTGCACCATTAACGGTTTGTGGGATTTGACTAATTAATGTAATAGTTTTTGAGTCACGCTCATTAAATATGAAAATTACGCTGGTAAAAGGTATTGGTTTCATTATCAATCTTGTATGGACAGGATGGGGGCAGGAACTAGAGGAGGGACAGAGCCCTGCTTGTCTCTTCAGGGCCGTAAACAGCTGTATTGGGGTTCCACTCTTAAGGGAAGCCCACAAAGGGGCTGGGAGAAGGGAAAGAAGGAGGGCTGGGGGGAGATTTGGGAGAAACTCTGTGCAGGCCGGACCCAGTGGCCACATAGAGCTCTGAAGACCACATCCCTGGGTTCCTTCCTACCCTAGACTTGTCCAAGTGGAACCCTCTCTTAGGCTGATTGATGGACTCATTCATTGATTCATTCATTGGTTGCTGCCTTCCTTTCTTCCTTCATTCATTCATTCAGGTGTGGTGTGGCAGACGCTGCTGGCTGGCCACCTGACATAATGCCCACTCCCAGCCCCATCATTCCTAGCCTGCCACCACCTCAGAGACTGGAAAAGGGAAACACTTCTATTTCCAACTTTCTTGTTTTATTCAGGCTGCTAAAACAATACTATAAACTGAGTGGCTTATAAACAACAGGGCTTATAAACAACAGGAGTTTATTTCTCACAGTCCGAAGGCTGGAAGTCCAAGATCAAGGCACCAGTGGATTCAGTGTCTGGTGAGGGTCCGCTCGCTAGACGGCCATGGCATCCTCACACAGTGGGAGGGGAGAGGGATCTCTCCGGGGTCTCCTACAAAGGCACTAATCCCACTCATGAGGGCTCCTCCCCCATGACCCAGTCACCTCCAAAAGGCCCCGCCTCCTAATGTCATCACTTTAGGGGTGAAAATTTCAACATATGAGTTTGGAGGGGACATAAACATTTGTTCTATTACACCAACCTCCGTGGAGGCTGGGCTGGTCCCGTGACGCTGAAGCAGGCAATACGATAAGAGGGAAGTCAAATTAAAGGGACAGACACTATGGGTAACGCGGTTTCTTTCCTTCTATTTGGAGTTTTGGCAGCTGTTTTTGAACATGAGGGAAAGGCCAAGAGACACACAGAAATGCTGGTCCTGATGCCACTGGGCCACAGAACAATCCCTAGAAGTCATCTACTCCCAGCATTCTTGTTTTGGGGAAAAATAGCATTCTATTTTTCTAAAACATTGATAATTTTTCTGTTATTTGCATCTACAAGTATTCCTGACAGATACATATGATAAAGGCGGATGCTATGAGGAACTCAAAGAAGCTTACAATCTAGTTATAAAGAACAAAAAGATGAAAAAATTTAAAAATGCCTCTCGTTCAAGGCCACAAACATCTAGTGTCAGCTGAGTGGCCTCAAAGGGTGGCCATGCAGCTGGTGAGCCTGGTGGAGCCTTATGGGTCTTTGCAGCTGGGCTCATTCTGACCAGCCAGCGCCCATGACAGCTGATTATCACATACTTAGATGATCACCCTGGATAGTGCACCCTGAGTTGTTCAAAGGAAAATTGGGTAGGATCATCCAGGAAGCCGCTATGGTTGGGCAGGGATTCAAGTTGGGCTTTGAAGGGTGGATGGGATTTCCAAAGCAGAAACGGACAAGGGGAGAAGGAGTGGGTGCCTTCCTGGGGTCAGTGAGGAAGTGGAAGTGAGCAAGGCCTGGAGATGGGAAGGGAAAAATCCATTGCAAGGAATGAAAAGTAGCCCTGATGGGTAACGAGAGGGAAGAGAGTACGGGGTCCCCGCTGTCCCCATCCTTGTCCTTGTGGGTGTCCTGCACTCTTGCCAGTAATTTATAGGAATATCAAGCTCAGTAGTTATAGCCTTGAGCTCAGGGTCTCTGTCTTTTATCTTTGCAGTCGTCCTGCTTAGTTCAGGATTTGACACATATGTAGTTGGCATGCAATAAGTGTCGATTGAATAAATAGAGATAAATTAAGGGAGTAGAAATACGATAACAGTTATCATTACTGAGAGCCTGGTATGTGCCAGGCACTGTTCTAGGCACTTTACATGTGTTATTACCTTTAATTTTACCAGGTAGATTTAGGTTCCAAGTCTAACTTTGCCCTCTTGAGCTCCATAATCTCATGCAAATTAACTGACCTCTTTGAATATATGTTTTCTTAATAGCAAAATGGCAAGAATAATGCCTTTTCAATATATTTATTGTGGTGAATAATATCACCATTAAAAGTAATATTTATTTAGTGTGTGTTGTCAGGTACTGTGCTAAATGTTTCACGTTCATTATCTCAATTATTCCTTATATAATAAGCCTATGAGGCAGGTACTTCTATTATCTGCTTATTAGAGACAAATAGCCTGCAGCCCAGAGAGGTTAAGTAATGTGTCCCAGGCCACACAGCTAGTGACAGGAGAATGCTAGAAAGTTGATTCATGCAGTGGTTGCTGTGAGAAGATACAAAGAGAAGACATGGCCCCTTTCCTTAAAGTGCTTAGCATGTGTCTGGGGAGCCTCAAAGGCCATGGCTAGCAAGAAGGGCCAACATCCTGGAGTGCCACTTATACAGTTCTGCAGAGGAGGACCTTGGTAAGGGAGTAATAGACCACCCTTGAGTCAGGTAGATTTAGATCCGACATAGGCAGGGTAGAAACAGGCCTAGAGAACTTCAGTCTCTCCCCTCACCCCCTACCATTCATCAGAGATGAACTGAAAGTTCAGAGAGATAAAGTGACATTACCAAGTGAATGTTAGGTATGCTTTTGGCTGTAAGTGCATGAAAAAAATCTGAACAAACAGTGGCTGTATTCATTTCCTTGTGCTGCTATAATAAAGTTTAGAGGCTTAAAACAACACATATTTATCATCTTACTGTTCTGGAGGTCAGAAGTCCAAATAGGTCTTACAAGGCTAAAATCAAGGCATCAGCAGGGCTTGTTGCTTTCTAGAAGCTCTAGGGGAAAACCATTTTCTTTCCTTTTCCAGCTGTTAGTGGTGTCCTGCATTCCTTGGCTCATGGCCCCATTCCATCTTCAAAGCCTGCAATGCCGGTCGAGTCTTTGCCACATAGAATCACTGTGACACTGACTCTTTTGCCTCCCTCTTGTACGTTTGGGGACCCTTGTGATGGTTACTTTTATGTGTCAACGTGGCAAGGCTATGGTGCCTAGTTGTTTGGTCAAACACTAGTCTAGCTATTGCTATAAAGTAGCTTTTAAAATATTTATTTATTTATTTATTTATTTATTTATTTATTCTTGAGACAGAGTCTCGCTCTGTAGCCCAGGCTGGAGTGCAGTGGTGTGATCACAGCTTACTGCAGCCTTGGCCACCTGAGCTCAGGTGATCCTCCTGTCTCAGCCTCCCAAGTAGCTAGAACCACAGGGACAGGCCACCATGCCCGGTTTTTTAATCTTTTGTAGGGCGGGGGGGGTTTCACCATGTTGGCCAGGCTGGTCTCAAACTCCTGGTGTCAAATGATTCACCTCCCTCAGCCTTCCAAAGTGCTGGATTACAGGCATGAGCCACCCCACCTGGCCTGTTGCTATAAAAGTAGTTTTTAGATGTGATTAACACTTAAATTAAACTTTTTTTTTTTTTGAGTCAGAGTCTTGCTCCGTTGCCCCAGCTGGTGTGTAGTGGTATGATCATGGCTCGCTGTGGCCTCGAACTCCTGGCCTCAAGCAACCCTCCCGCTTTAGCCTCCCGAGTAGCTTCTATTACAGGCATGTGCCACTGCACTCACCTCAGATCAGTAGACTTTCAGTAAAGCAGGTGACCCTCTATTACCTGAGAGTCTTGATGCAGTCAGTTGAAGGCTGAGAAAAGACTGAGGTTTCAAAGTAGGAGCAGTTCTGCCTCAAGACTGCAATATAGAATTTCTGCCTGAATTTTCAGCCTGCAGACTTTGCACTCAAGACTTCAACATTGACTATTCCCTGAATTTCCAGCCTGCCAGACTGCTTTACAAATTTCAGGCTCATGGGCCAATTCCTTAAAATAAATTTTTCTTGGCCTGATGCAGTGGTTCACACCTGTAATCCGAGCACTCTGGGAGGCCGAGGTGGGTGGATCACCTGAGGTTAGGAGTTCAAGACCAGCCTGGCCAACGTAGTGAAACCCCATCTCTACTAAAAATACAAAAATTAGCTAGGCATGGTGGCAGGTGCCTGTAATCCCAGCTACTCGGGAGGCTGAGGCAGGAGAATTGCTCCAACCCAGGAGGTTGCAGTGAGTCGAGATCACACCACTGCACTCCAGCCTGGGCGACAGAGTGAGACTCCGTCTCAAAAAAAATAAAAAAATAAAAAATAATATAAATTTTCTCTCTCTCTGAGAGATATATATGTCTTGAGGGATACATCTATATAGGTCCATTCAGACACTCCAGGATAATCTCCTCATTTTAAATCCAGCTGATTAGCAACCTTAATTGTATCTGCTACCACTATTTCCTGTTGCCAAATAACCTAACATAGTCATAGATTCCAGGGATTAAAACATGAACATCTCTGGGAATGGTGACATCATTCTGCCCATTGTAAAAACTTCAACAAGTAAAGGTGTATTTTCCTCCCATAATAAGAAGTCTGAAGGGGGAGCTGATAGCTGGAGGCAGGGTTCCATGACTCAGGCTCTTCACGTGCTCTAATATGTTGGCTTCAGTCCTCAAGCTCGCCACCTCATGCTCACACGATGGCTGCCTCAGCTCCCAGTGTCATATCTTCATACCATGACGCAAAGCAGGAGAGAAGGGGATAGGCAAAAAAGCCCTCCTTTTAAATCCCGGACAACAAACCTTCACTGGGGACTTCTAAAAACTTCTTTTTGGCTGGGTGCAGTGGCTCACACCTGTAATCCCAGCATTTTGGGAGGCTGAGGTGGGTGGATCACTTGAGGCCAGGAGTTCGAGACCAGCCTGGCCAACATGGTGAAACCCCTAAACTACTAAAAATACAAATCTTTTTCTTTTTTTTTTTTTGAGACAAAGTTTTGCTCTTATTGCCCAGGCTGGAGTGCAGTGGTGCGATCTCGGCTCACTGGAACCTCTGCCTTCCAGGTTCAAGTGATTCTCCTGCCTCAGCCCTTGCAATAGCTGGGATTATGGGTGCCTGCCACCATGCCCAGCTAACTTTTGTATTTTTAGAAGAGACGGAGTTTCATCATGTTGGCCAGGCTGGTCTCGAACTCCTGACCTCAGTGATCCACCCACATCAGCCTCCCAAAGTACTGGGATTACAGGCGTGAGCCACCATGCCCAGCCTAAAAATACAAAAATTAACGCGGCATGGCAGCGCACACCTGTAATCCCAGCTACTCAGGAGGCTAAGGCACAAGAATCACTTGAACCAAGAGATGGAGGTTGCAGAGAGCCGAGATCACGCCACTGCACTCCAGCCTGGGCAACAAAATGAGACTTCATCTCAAAAAAAACCAAAACCAAAACCAACCAGCCAACCAACCAAACAAAAACCTTTTGCCTGCCACTGGGGACATCTGGGTTATGGGGCCATCTCTGACTGAGGAAGTGAATGTGCAGCATTCCATTTTTTTTTTTTAAGATGGAGTCTTGCCCTGTCACCAGGCTGGAGTGCAGTGGTGCAATCTCAGCTCACTGCAACCTTCACCTCCCGGGTTCAAGCAATTCCCCTGCCTCAGCCCAGTAGCTGGGACTACAGCCGCATGCCACCATGCCCGGATAATTTTTTGTATCTTAGTAGAGACGGGGTTTCACCATGTTGGCCAGGATGGTCTTGATCTCCTGCCTCGGCCTCCTGCCTCGGCCTCCCAAAGTGCTGGGATTACAGGCGTGAGCCGCCACGCCCGGCCGCGTTCCATACTTATAGAGGGAGGCAGGGCAAGACAAAAGGAGCTTTGGGCAGCCATGCAAGGTCATACAGCTTCCCATGGCAGAGCTGGAACGGAGCACGGTCCCTGCATATGGCTGGTGGCCTCTACTCTCCTCCATGGTCCTGTTGAAACAAGCAGGTTGTCTGTGCAAACCAGGACGGCCTCATCATCCAGGAGTGTGGCTCCACTGCTCATGGCTGTTTGAACTTGGGCACTGCCTCATCGGTAAACTGGAGTTGTTCTGAAGATGAATAAGATCAGCTACATAAATGTGTTTGGTAACAGAGCAAGTTCCTTTTACACCAAAGTCACAGCCTAAGGGTCAGAGGCAGAGGAGGGGGTTGGGAGGGAGACAGGAAACCAAGCCCTGGGGCTTCAGCCCATCCATTGCAGAATGGGCTGCCCTGCATGGTTTTCTAAGATGCCACCTCCACCCCACAGGCCAGTCCTGCAAGCTCTTTATTGGTACTGTTGACTATTCTGGTTAATTAATTGATGTTTGCTGAGTGAAGGAGAGAGACCCATTTAAACCAAAACCTCTTTCAAGCTGCTGGCCGGCCTAGAGCAGAGCAGAAAAGATTGTAGCAGGAACAAAGCTCCCTCTGAGGATAGTAAAAGTCCCCTTCACTCTGGGCTCTCTCCTCCCAAGCATCATGAAGGCAGTTGGGGACGTAGGCCTGTTAGTGACAGTGAGTGACTCCCAAGCCGAGCCCTGGAGAGGGGCCCGTGCCAGCTCCATTATGTTTATGTCCCTGGCTTGGCGGTTTCCTCTGGGCCTGCTCCACAGCGTGTGCTCACGGGGGTGGCTGTGTGTCAGTGGGGGTTGGGGGAGGTGCCTCCGTGTGGGGAATGGGAGGCCAGAGAAGGAGAAGGGTGGCGAAGGGGAGGGGCAGAAGGAAAGTGAGAGTATAAGAACTAAGCCCTGGCCGGAAGACTGTGTTTCTTTTATTTTAAAGAAAGGATAAAGGGATGTTGTGAAAGAAAAGAAGAGAGGGAGGAAGAGAAAAACAGAATAATAGAAAGAGGGACAGGGACATATGGAAGAGAGATAGGAGGGGACAGGTTAGGGGACCAGGAATTCACAAGTGCCAGGCACCACTGGTGGTGGTGAGCCTCAGAGGTGGGGAATCACCCAGGTCTCAAAGGACGGTTCTGAATGGGGACCTCCGAGCTGAAAGACCAAGCTCTTTCACCACAGTGACAAGGTTGGGGGCTGGGGACCATGGGGGCAGTTCAGGGGACCTGAATTTAAGCAGTCAGCTGATGGCTGAGGGCATGGGGCTCAAGTGGAAGATAGCCCGAGTGTGGGAAAAACTCATGCTCAGAGCCAAATCCTGGCTCTGTCATTTAGAAACATGATTGAAACCCTTATGGCTCGGCTTCCTGTTATGAAAAATAGGGTAATCATAGTTCCCACATCATGGCATTGTTGTGAGGGTTCCATGAGGTCACGCATATGGGGTGCTTAGAGTATCCAACGTCAGCTAAGTGCTCAGTAAGGCTTAGGTGCCATGAGATAATTCTTTGCCAACAAAATCCCTATGTTGTTGAGGATGGCGATACTCCCGGTTCATTTCCTAGCCTTCTTTGCAGTTGCGGCAGCTCCTGAGATGTAAGAGGAAGTTATTGTTGGGGGGGCTTCAGGAAATCTTTTTAAAAGGGTCTGACTCCTCTGGCAAGCTCTTCCTTTCTTTTCTTCTTCAAGACAGGAAGGTGGGCATGATGACTGTAGCGGCAGCAGCCATCTTGCAGCCCTGAGTTTCCCTTGAGGACAGACACATGCACTAAGAATGGTAGAACAGAAAGGCAGAAGGAGCCTGAGGCGCTAACCACATCGTGGGGCTGTCAAAAAGCCCTGGACCTCCTGTCTCCACGAGTGTTTTGCCTGAGAGAAAAGCAAACCATTAACTTATTTAAACTGCTATAGCTCCAAGTTTCTATTAATTGCTGCCAAACTAAATATAGCTGACACAAATTTTAAAGTTAAATAGATTCTAGAAGAGTTAGAGAAATGTATACTGGTAGATCCAAAAGAGTGACTTGGCCGGGCATGGTGGCTCATGCCTGTAATCCCAGCACTTTGGGAGGCCAAGGAGGGGAGATTACTTGCGGTCAGGAGTTTGACACCAGCCTGGGCAACATGGTGAAAGCCCGTCTCTACTAAAAAATATAGAAATTAGCCGGGCGTGGTGGCATGCACCTGTAATCCCAGCTACGCGGGAGGCGGAAGCATGGGAATTGCTTGAACCCTGGAGATGGTGGTTGCAGTGAGCCAAGATCACACCACTGCACTCCAGCCTGGGTGACAGAATGAAACTCTGTCTCAAAAAAAAAAAAAAGAAAAACACACAAAATGGGTGACTTATGGAAGGTGGGGTGTCATGGGAGCATGTGTGAAAGGCACCGAGTCACCTCCTAGGTCCCGTAACCTGTCCCCTGACCAGGTTGTCTGTGAGTCCAGTCAGCCAGTGATTGTCTTATTGTCCTCATCAAAGCAATGGGAACAAAGGCCTTCTAGAAACCAGTTCAGGACAAACGCCCCTGGACATCAAAGTCCCTTTGTGTCTAAGAGAGAGAAGCCCCCAGAAACCCATCAGAACCAGGGCTACCAGCAGCACGCAGTCACGTGGGTGGATATTGGTATCACCCACCTGCAAGGCTTGATTCATGCTTCTGAAGGTGGCAAAATGCTCCTGGCCCACACAGAAGTCCCTCGGGGAGTGTTGAATGGCCACTTTTGGGTCGGGATGAGGCTGAAGGAGGGCCCTGGAACAACTCTCATCCCCAAACTCCACAAGTCTCCTATGGGTCTGTGTCCAGCAGAATGTCTCATGACCCTTGGGATGCAGTGTGTATGCCATGCTGGTGAAGCTCAGAGTGAGGGTGGGGCTCTCACCTCTTCATGGTCTGCTCTTTGGGCTGTGTGATGGTTCATTTTAGGTATCAACTTGCCTGGATTAAGGGACAGCCAGATAGCTGGCAAGACCTTATTTCTGGGTATGTCTATGAGGGTGTTTTTGGAAGAGACTGGCATTTGAATCAGTGGCCCAAGTAAGGAAGATTCACCCTCACCCAATATAGACAAACACCATCCAATCAGCTGAGGGCTGAGATGGAACAAAAAGGCAGAGGACATGAGAATTTACTCTCTCTCTCGTCTGGAGATGGGACACCTTTCTTTGCCTGCCCTTGAACATCCCACTTCCAGATTCTCTGGCCTTTGGATTTGGGGACTTCTACCAGTGGCCCCTGGGTTCTCAGCACTTTGGCCCTGGACTGAGAGTTACCCTATTGGCATCCCTGGGTCTCTGGCCTTTGTACTTGGACTGAGCCATGCAACTGGCTTCCCTGGTTCTCCAGCTCACAGACGGCCAGTTGTGGGGCTCATCAGCCTCCATAATTTCATAAGCTAATTCAGCTTGTAAGTCTCCTCTCATCTCTCTCTCTCTCTCTCTGTGTATATGTCCTATCAGCTCTGACTCTCCGGAGGACCCTGAATATTACAGGCTGGATAGTACTCCTTTTGCAGGAGATGGGGTGAGGCTATTTTCTTCTTGAGAGTAGAAGCAGCTGATTCCTTCACTGCTTCCCCAATCCCGACTTTTTGAAATAGATGAGAGGAAAAGGGCATGGAGCTAGGAGAGGCACCAAGAGGCTTTTCCCTGCTAAGACTTAGGTCTGGGGTCTGCTGAGCAGAAGCTGCCTGTGTCTGTGCTTGAAGGAAGGACACCAGATGGAAAGCAGGTAGCACTGAGATTTCCTACTGATGAGCCAGGGCCTAAGGCAGAGGGGCAAATAAAGGCAAGCACTGGGCCAGGGCAGCAGAGGGTCCTCCAGACACCAGCTCAAAGAGGGTCCTGGCTCCCCGGCAGTGGAGGTGGAGACTTTGCTGCCTCCCGACTTCCCTGTGCATTCTTTGGGTCTCTGGAACATAAGCACATTTTTTTGAAAGTGATTTTTTAGTTGACATTGAGTCAAGGATATTTGAAAATGAAAAATAAGCATCTGACTCTCTGGCAGGACACTTTGATTCCAGAGCTGGGTAGAGCCCCAGAACCAAGGGAAGAGGGAAAACCCCACTTTCTTTTATATTTTCTTTCTTATATGAAGAGCCACAAGCTCTTCGTATAAAAGAAAGTTCTTTAATAGAAGGGCAAAACAAACAGAACATTATCTCTGCAGAAGGCATCAAGGAGGGATCAAAACTGAGTAGGCTCAGGATGAAGGCATAGAGAAAACTTCTTCAGAGGGATAAGATTTGGGGGGTCAATGCCCAGAAGAGCCCCTGAGTTTATTTCTATTCCAGAGAGTAATCTGAGAAGTGTCAGGGTGACTACAGCCATATCCAGCATGTTCAAGAGCTTGCCTTCTCATCAAGAGATGTTACCCAAGTCTTTGACTTATTCATTTCATCAATCACTTATTCAGTCTACAATTTCATTGTTGTGTTATGCACATAATAAATATTTCCCTTGAAATCATACCTTTCACTTTCTTCCAGGGCTAAGTTCTAAATTCATTGCCTCCTCCCCATTGCTGGGGGTCCGTTAATCAGCTTTATGAGGATTGTTGCTCTTCTGTACATTGACCTGCATAGAGGAGGCCCAATGGCAGCACAGAGCTAGCTGGAGTCCATCCCCTTGTCTTGCCACGTGGATCTGGCCATTGAATTATCATTGCACAAGAGATCTATTTCTGCCAATTTTGCTCAGTGTGCCAGAGTGTCTGCTACACTATTAGAATCTGCTCAGATGTCTAACGTTGACTGTATGTGGTTAAGAACCTTCATTCATTTAACACATATTTTTGGTGCCTCCCACGTACTTAGCACTTCGTAACATGTGACTTTTTGTGCTGAAACTTAAGCAGCAGAGAATCCACAAGAATGCCTGTACTTCTGAGATCTACACACCAGCAGGGTCTTCAAAATAAAAATAGGACAGTGGCGCCAATGGCACCATAGACTTTGAATCTTCCTTCTAGGAAAATGGGCAGAGCAACTAGGGTAGAAAAACAAAATATCCTTATGTACAACAAAATCAGAAGGAGGAATCCCATGAACCCCCAAATATGAGTGGGTGAAGTAGCCCAGAGACCCTCAAAACCACCCAGAAGTGCTGACTGGAACCATGACAGGCTAAAACGTAAGAGGAGCAGAGAAGCTGGGAGGGGTCTCGGCAGACCCAGAGTTGAGGTTAGGACACCCTAGGCAGTCTGGACCTGATAGCTCCTGAAACTAACCAGTGAGGGCTTCTTTCCAGGACAAACCCCACACAGAGGAGGAACTACAAACTAAGGCTTCAGACTGCAGACTGGGAGAGTAACAGCAAAGGAGAGAAAGACCTAGAACTCCCTACTGCTCAATATGGAACCCTGCCCCACCCCGCCCCCCACCCCCCGCCACTGGCCAGATATGGCTACCTAACAATGGCCCTCACTAAAATGGAATCTTTGTTTGTTTGTTTGTTTTGAGACGGAGTCTCACTCTGTCGGCCAGGCTGGAGTGCAGTGGCACGATCTCGGCTCACTGCAAGCTCCGCCTCCTGGGTTCACACCATTCTCCTGCCTCAGCCTCCCAAGTAGCTGGGACTACAGGTGCCCATCACTATGCCCGGCTAATTTTTTTGTATTTTTAGTAGAGATGGGGTTTCATTGTGTTAGCCGGGATGGTCTTGATCTCCTGACCTCATGATCCGCCTGTCTCGGCCTCCCAAAGTAAAATTGAATTTTAAGGGCAGGCAGGGTGGTTCACACCTGTAATCTCAGCACTTTGGGAGGCTGAGGTGGGTAGATCACCTGAGGTCAGGAGTTCGAGACCAGCCTAGCCAACATGGCAAAACCCTATCTCTACTAAAAATAAAAAAATTAGCCAGGCATGGTGGCACATGCCTGTCATCCCAGCTACTCAAGAGGCTGAGGCAGGAGAATTACTTGAACCCTGGAGGCGGAGGTTGCAGTGAGTTGGGATGGTGCCACTGCACTCCTGGGTGACAGAGCGAGACTCTGTGTCAAAAATAAATAAATAAATACAAAATAAAATTGCATTTTAAAATGGAGTCTCTTAGTTGCATCAGCCACATTTCAAATGCTTGGCTACTAGCTTCTGCTGTATGGTGGCTGCACTGGACCGTGCAGATGTAGAACAAACCCATTATCACAGAGTTCTGTCGGACAGTGCTGAAGTTACACAGTGTATTAGTCCATTCTTGCCTTGCTATAAATACATATCTGAGACTGAGTAATTTATGAAGAAAAGAGGTTTAATTGGCTCACGGTTCTGTAGTCTGTACAGGAAGCATGATTCTGACATCTGCTCAGGTTCTGGGGAGGATGGCTGGTGCTGGTGCAGGAGGAAGAGAGAGGGGAGGTGCTCCTTTTTTTTTTTTTTTTTTTTTTGAGACAGAGTCTCGCTCTGTCACCCAGGCTGGAGTGCAGTGATGCCATTTCGGCTCACTGCAACCTCCGGCCCAGGTTCAAGCAATTCTCCTGCCTCAGCCCTCCGAGTAGCTGGGATTACAGACGTGTGCCACCACGCTCAGCTAATTTTTGTATTTTTAGTAGAGACAAGGTTTCACCATGTTGGCCAGGCTGGTCTTGAACTCCTGGCCTCAAGTAATCTGCCCACCTCGGCCTCCCAAAGTGCTGGGATTACAGGCATGAGCCACAGCACCTGGCTGTGCTATACATTTTTAAACAACCAGATCTCACGAGAACTCACTCATGATCATGAAAACAGCACCAAGGAGAATAGCACGAAGGGAATGGTGCTAAACCATTCAGGAGAAACTGTGCCCATGATCCAATCATCTTCCACCAGGCCCCACTTCCAACACTAGGGATTACAATATGACCTGGGATTCGGGCCAGGACAGTGATCCAAACCATGTCATATGAGAAGGGAAACAGAGGCCTCTGAAAGTGAAAGCCCATATTTTGTATCCCTCAAGAAAAACAACAAAAGAGCAAGGTCTTGGGCAGAAAGCTAGCAAGGACATCTTGCCCATATTCCCTTCCTGACAGTACAGGAACACACACCTCTCTGAAACAGGAGGGACTGGAAAGGATTGCCACAAAATCCCCTACGGAAAGAAAATTAAATTGTCATCAGATTTTTCAACAGCAATGCTTTCTGCAAAAAAAAAAAATTTTTTTTAATAATAAATTAAAGCTATTCCAGGAAACGAGTGAAGGATTTTATATCCACACAAATTGAGTCAAGTACAAAGGCTGCAGACAAACTTTTGAACGTGTAAGAAACCCTTACGAATCCCTCCTGAGGAATCCACTAGAAATTAACTAAGACAATTGAAATGAGTGGAGTGACGTCAATTAAGACTAGTGCGAGGCCAGGTGCAGTGGCACATATCTGTAATCCCAGCACTTTGGGAGGCCGAGGCAGGCAGATCACCTGCCTGGTCAGGAGTTAAGAGACCAGCCTGGCCAACATGGTGAAACCCCATCTCTACTAAGAATACAAAAATTAGCTAGGCATGATGGCAGACACCTGTAATCTCAGCTACTCAGGAGGCTGAGGCAGGAGAATCGCTTGAACCTGCAAGGCAGAGGTTGCAGTGAGCTGAGATCTTGCCACTGCACTCCAGCCTGGGATACAGGGCAAGACTCTATCTTAAAAAAAAAAAAAAAAAAAAAAAAAAAAAGACTAATGCTGAGTATTGCATATATATAAATGTATTTAATACATAAAGATCTGCTTAATATACAAAGGTGTTTTGTGCTTAAATATTAAAAATACAGTCAAATAATCAACATGGAGGGAGAATGTGAAAAGTATTTGAAATAAGCGTGCTTATTGCCTTAGAGGCATTAGTCAATAGTAAAGGATACTGCAAGGAATGAACAGCAGGTGACTCTGTCACTCCCTAATGTGCGACCATGGAAATGTGACTTTTCCTCTCGGGTGCTCAGTTATTCCAGCTGTAAGATAGACAGAATAAGATCTTCTGTGCCTAGCCTGTGGGGTATGAAAACCTGATCAGGACTCTATAAACATCAAGTTTTATTATTTTGAGACCTAGGAAAAAGTATCCTATTTTAGAGCAGAGGAGACTAGAGGTTTTAGCCAAGGCATGTGAGAAGGATAAGGTGAAGGGACAGCTGAGCTCCTCAAGCCTTTTGCTGCTTCTTAGGAAGATGTCAGCCCTGAATGCTCCCTGGCCTGGGCTGTGAAGGAGGCAACCAGGCAGCATCAGAAATACGGAAATACAGGGGACACGTTAGGGAAGCGAGCCCCCCGGGACTCTCAAAGCAAACGTGCTGCTCCAGAAGGGCAGGGAACAAGGTGAGCTAGGGGCCAAGAATGCGATGCAAGAAAGGCAAAGTCAGAAGATGGGAGGCCCAGCTGGTGGGCATCACACCAGAAACTGGAAAAGCATAGCTGGAAGGGAAAAAATCAAACAGAAGGTAGTTATTTGTTGGGGGGCCATACATAGGAGATGCAGGGTCAAGTAGCCCCACTGAAACAAACCCAGCTTTGTGCTGATCTCCTAGAGCGACCCTGCTTCCTCCCCAGGCAGGAGGGGACATAAGACCCTCCTATGCACCAGCCAAGCCACATTTGCCAGGTGCACACCCAAGACCTTTGGAGAAGGCTGGAAGCTGGATCCCCACCCTCAGGGGCCCGGCGTACCATGTGAACCTCTGGGGCTGAGCTGGTCCCTGACACCTGGTCAAATAAAGTTCGCCCATGGTCCCATCACTGCCACTGTGTCCCTGATTCCCTCTCCAAGGAACCTTGCTCTCCATTTGTCAATTTTAAGTGATAATTTCTATTCAATCTGATACATATTATAAGAATATAAACAAATGCCTCTCCCCCTATCGGCCCCATAATCACTTTCTTTTATAGCTATCATTTATTACAGGATGACAGATGGCCAGTTTGCAGAATTCCAAAGAGGCTCCCCGCCGGCCAGTCACCTGGGAACACGGGAGCATTTACATTTCTCCAAAACAGATGGGAAAGGGAGGGGGAAGGAGGCAGATTCCTGTCACAAACTTTGGCGCTTTCCAGAATGTGTTTCTTTTGCCTCTCCCTCTATCCCTCTGCCTTTCTCACAGATGGCACCTTTCCCTTCTCGCCCCTTTCCAAACCTCCCCATGCCCTCCCATTCGTCTATTTCCCGTTAGTGGCAACTGAAACCGCCAGTATGGCGGTCTCGATGGCTGGAGGCTCACAGACTCTTGGCAGGTCACCTTCTGGGGACTTTTAAGGCCTGCTGTCCGCTACTGCAGCCTACCCTCCTGGCTTGTTATTTGGAATTGGGACTGAGGTAAGAGACCAGGGGAGCATGAGAAGTGAGTTGCTTCAGAGGACAGATGCTGGAGCCTGGCTTTTTCACAAAACTACAGAGCAGCGGCTCTCAACCCTGACAGCATGCAAGATCCCCTTAAGGCCTTTTTAAACACATTGATGCCCCACCCAAAACGATTAAATCAGAAAGTCTGGGGGTGGGATCTGGCAAGTTGTGCAGCTATGGTTGAGAATCCATTGCTGCAGAGCCAAAGCAAAAGGAGATTTTAAGAAGGCAAAAAATGAAGAAGCCATAGAGAGGATAGACTACTGTGTGCCAGGCATTGCAAGAGTCGCAAAGTTAGAACTCAATGATATATAGTCCCTGTTCCTGGCCCAGCGGGGCGAATGCAAATCAACCGACCACTGCAGTTGAGAATGGGAGGAGCTGAGAAGGAGCTACGCTGGCTGAGATGGGACCTTAGGGACATCTTCCTACAAGAAGATGGCATCCAGAGTGAAGAATATAGAGGAAATAGGAGACTATCGACATGACCCCAATGTAAGGAATGATTTCTTAAGACACAGGAGTGGAACCCATAAAGAAAATGACTGATACATTTGCCTCCAATAAAATCAAGATCTTTTGTTCCCCAAAAGATACCACAGGGAGAAAGAGAAGACAAGCCACAAACTAGAAGATATTCCTAACATGGGCAACTAATAGAGGATTGATATCCAGAGTACATAAAGAAGGTCTATGAATCTTTAGGAAAAAAACAACCCAGTAAAACAATTGGCCAAGGAAACACATTAAAGGAAACACGAAATGGTCAATAAGCATAAGAGAAAAAAAAATAATCAACAAAACGCAAATTACAACCAGAAGGAGATGCCATTTCACATACATGAAATTGGCAAAAACTTAAGTCCGACAACATGAAGTATTATGAGGATATTGATGCTGGCAGATGTATAACTTGGTATAATGACTTTGGAAAAGCCATCCCGTGATACCTACTAAGGCTGAACACATGCACACTTTACTATCCAGCGCTTTTACTCAGTACATATGGAAAAGAGACTTGCATATGTGCCTAGAGATGCACACAATAGGAATCTTCATAGCAACATTGATCGTAATAGCAAAAACTGGAAATCCAAATGTCTATCAGCAGCAACATGGATAAATAAATGTTGCTGTAATCATATAATGAAAACCATACAACTATACATCCAAAGAAACAATAGCTACATACATCAGTGTAGATAAAACTCAAAAGTGTAATGTTGAGTAAAAACAGCAAATTATGAAAAAATACAATGAATAGGGTGCTACTTATATAAAGTTTGAAAACATGCATGAGTAACAACATATTGTTCTGGGATGCATACATATGTGATAAAATTGTAAAAAAAAAATCAGGGAATAATTATATTAGTCCATTCTGGCATTGCTGTAAAGAAATACCTGAGACTGGGTAATTTATAAAGAAAAAAGGTTGAATTGACTCACAGTTCCACAGGCTGTACAGGAAGCATGATGTTGGCATCTGCTTGCCTTCTGGGGAGGCCTCAGGAAGCTTTCAATCACGGCAGAAGGCAAAGGGGAAGCAGGCATATCTTACATGGCTGGAGGAGGAGGAGCGGAGGGAGAGAGAGAAGGGGGAGGTGTCACATACTTTTAAACAATCAAATCTCACGAGAACTCACTCACTATCATGAGAATGGTACGAAGGAGAAAATCTGTCCCCAGGATCCAGTTATCTTCCACCAGGCCCCACCTCCAACACTGGGAATTACAATTTCAATGAGATTTGGGCAGGGACACAGATCCAAACCATATCAATGATTAAGACAAACATCCACAAGGTGGAGATGCTCAGATGACATCAGGAATGTCACATACACAGGTAGGGGTGGGAGGTGTTTTTAATGATAATAGTGATTCTATTTCTTAAGCCAGGTAGTAGATACAGGGGTGTTCATTTTATTATTTTATTATTATTAAACACTTTTTATGTGTACATTTTATAAGAAAAATATATATATATTTGTTTGAGATGGAGTCTCACTCTGTCACCCAGGCTACAGTGCAGTGGTGTCATCTCAGCTCACTGCAACCTCTGCCTCCTGGGTTCAAGCAATTCTCCTGCCTCAGTCTCCTGAGTAGCTGGGATTACAGGTGCATGCCACCACACCCAGCTAATTTTTGTATTTTTTGTAGAGAAGAGGTTTCATCATGTTGACCAGGCTGGTCCCGAACTCCTGGCCTCAAGTGAGCCACCTGCCTTGGCCTCCCAAATTCTGGGATTTACAGGCGTGAGCCACCGTGCCTGGCCAAATAAATGTTATTCTTTATCTCAAAGTTGATCCAAACTTGTAGCTCAGTTTGGCCTATTTTTATTTTTTTCCATAGGAAACATCCATCCTTCCTTAGCCCATTGAAGTAACTTAACAGACCCATATCAGACACTGAGGATACATTGTGGTCAATTTCCAGCTGAGAGGCAGGGCTCTGGGGTGTGGAAGTGGCCCATGCCCTGCAAGCCCCTCTAGCCCATCTATGCCTCAGTCAGAGGGTAAGTAAGCACCTGTCCTTGGAAAATGCCTGGCCTAAGTGTCTTGGGAGAGTCAATGGCCAGACCCTGCCCTAAGCACATTACCCTCTAATGATGAGGCAGGACAAATGACCCACCAAAATCACCAAGTAAACAGCACTGAGTGACAAACACAAGGTACTCTGCTCTGTGTGTGTTGGTCTGGAAGCTGGAAGAAGTCCTGGGATCATGATGGGCACTACAGACAATATCCTTATTTTTTTGGGTGGGCAGAATGGACCAGGACTACCCTTTTTTTTTTTTTTCTTTTTTTGAGACAGAGTTTCACTCTTGTCACCCAGACTGGAGTGCAATGGTGCAATCTTGGCTCACTGCAACCTCCGCCTCCAGGGTTCGAGTGATTCTCCTGCTTCAGCCTCCGGAGTAGCTGGGATTACAGGCATGCAACACGATGCCCAGCTAATTTTTGCATTTTTAGTAGAGACAGGGTTTCACCATGTTGGCCAGACTTGAACTCCTGACCTCAGCTGATCCACTTGCCTTGGCCTCCCGAAGTGCTGGGATTACAGGCCTGAGCCATTGCGCGGGACCAGGACTATCCTTAAGGTCCCTTCCAACTCTGAAATTTTTGATCCTATGTATATTTGGGGCTAAGTACCCCACATATATATTTAGAAGATTGTTTACACCTAAGCTGATGGTTTTGTTCTTAACCTGATTGCATGCCTATGTGCATGACTTTACACAGAAATTAAGGAAAGCCAACGTGCCCCCATCTGTTCTCTTCTGAGATGATACTGGCCAGGACTAGAACTCTGCCCTTGATGTTATTAGCATCTGGGCAAAGGAGAAATTGACGGGGGTGGCAGCGTTTGAGGGGATGTGGAGGGACTAAGGTTTCAAGAGATGACCTGTGAAGCACTGCAGATGTAGGGAAGTGTGTAGGAAAAATGGGATGTGGGTGTCCTTGCTGATGTTAAGGTATGAAGAAGGTTTACCAGGGAGAGTGCGGTGCTTGGTAAAAAGGAACCTCCCACTGAGGATTCCTCTCCTAAACAGGACTGTGACCCACTGGTCACCAAAGGAGTCTTTCAAGAGAGGAGACTGGGTCTTGAGGGAGGTGATTCCTGCTGAGGAGTCCAGGCCAGAGCTGACTGAGAAGGGACTAGCTTGAAAGCAACAGTGAGGATGCGTGGGCAGCTGAAGCAGATGCAATGCAAAGGTGGTAGGTCTGAGAGCTGCACAGCATGGGCCTCTCCTGGATATTGCCTTGGCTCTGTTCACAACCATGCACTTGGCTCACAGCTTGGCCGGTGGTAAGTGTCTCCAGGCAGGAACTGAATGAATGAAACCGTGATAACAGCTACCATACACAGCATAGAGAGTGCCCTCGTAGGCACTGCACCAAGTTGTCTGCACACATTGCGTCACCCTTGCCATGGTGCTGAGAGTTAGGCACTGTTTTTATAGCCGTGTCTCCCGGGAGGCTGCTGAGGCACACAGTGTGGACTGTGATGGAGGTGGGTGTGACCTTGAGGTCTGATTCTAGATTTCTCACTTGCTCACCCCTCTCTGCTTTGGTTGGAACTTCCATAACGACTCCAGAGAGTCACTGTTAAATGAGAACATATTTTAATGACCATTTGAAAGATGAAAACCTGAGGTGGAAAGTGAGTGATCACTATGACCACATAGCTAATTAGTGACAGAGAGGAGAACTGCCCACAAGATTTTCCCACCCCTCTCTTCTTGTTCCGCTGGGTTACTGGGTGGGGAAACAAGTCAGGGGGCTAAGGCATCTGGCCGGCAAGCTTGGAGATGCCTAGCGTAAGGTCCTTGCCCTGGTGGCATCTATAGTGAAAGAGGAAAGGGCATGGAACCAGCCCTACAGCTCCTGCTGTGTGCTCAGCAGTAGGTTAATTCCTTTACCTCTCTCTCTTACTTACATTTACTAGTTTATTATAAAAGATACAACTCAGGAACAGCCACATGGAAGAGATGTGTAGAGCAAGGTATAGGGAGGAGGAGATGGTGCACGAAGCATCCGTGCCCTCTCCAGGCACACCACCCTTCCAGCATCTTGATGTGTTCACCACCCGGCTCCGCCTCAATCCTCTTATTTAAAACCTGCAGTAGCTCCAGAATTATGTTTTCTCACCCTTGTTTTACAAAGGAAGAAGCCAAGGCAAGGAGAGGTCCACCCATGGTCCTGCAGCTGGTTTGGGCACTGGCAGCCCAGTCTGACTCTGGAGCCATGTCTTTGGGGACATCAAGACTCCTTCTTCTCCCAGTTCAGATGGGGCTTGGGTGGGAGGTGCGGCTTGGGAGGAGTAGGGAGCACACAGACCTCTTGTGTGCACCAGCAGTTTCAGATGGCGCATTTAATTTTGGGCAAGTATGATTTGGGGAGAGGTGAGCAGAGGTAGAACACCTGGGTGCACCTGTCCCAGCTCCAGCGGTGTAGACTGGAGAAGAACCTGGCAGTGCTGGGCCCTGGCCCTCCAGACAGTGCCTGGAGGTGGAAGGTAAGTGGTGAAACAATCGCTCCCTGCACCACCTGGTTCAAGGAAGACAGGCTGGAGAGTGGCACAGCTCTGGGTGAAGCAGAATTCTCTGAATTTTTTTCCTCCCATTTTTCTATCCCCTCTTCTAAGACCATTTTCTTGCTCGGGCCGCATCTCTCTCATCCCTTCCTGCTGACCTTGGACTTATTCTACCGTTAATGCTGCAGCCCTGTCCCCGAGAAATCAGAAGCAGCCATCTTCACATTGGTAAATGGTAAAACGAGGAGAGTGCAGACCCTGCCTGGCTCTGACCTGCAAAGCCCAGGAACTGTGGGCAGGAGCCAGTGGCCGGCTTTGGCCCTGACTGCCTGGGTGGCCCGGGAGGAGTTACTCATGCTCTGGAACCCCAGCCTGCTCAGGTGTAAAATGTACATAATCCCAGCAAGCCCCTCCAGGAATGAATGTGAGGATGAGTGACAGATTCTGCGTCCGTGGGGCTGGCCGAGCTTAAGCGCTCTCTAAACCCTGCTCTGTGCTCCTGATAGTCCTCACGCCAAGGGATAAAGCCTAAGGAGTGACTTCTTCCAGAGCTGTGTAGACACAAGACTGAATCTCTAACTGTGAAATTTCAGGAATCAGTAAGCAGATGACACCTGTATTTTAAGAAGCAAGAAGAGCTTTTTGTTGCTGCTCAATTAATGCTACCTACCAGCCCTGGTCAGGAGAGTCCCAAGTATGTAGAATAATAATAATGATCAATGCTTAAGAAGCACTTAATGATATGCTGTGTTCAAGCCAAGGCTTAGCAAATTTCAGCCTGGGGGCAAATAAGGCCTGCTGCCTGTGTTTGTAATTTGAGTTTCGCTGGGACACAACCACACTCACTGGTTTACATTTTGTCTCCAGCTACTGTCCCACTAACTTTGGCAGAGTTAAGTAGTTGCAACAGGCACCATGACCCCTGTTCTAAGGACTTGGTGCATTTAATTTTATTTAATCCTCATCATATTCCTAGAAGTAGGTAATATTGTTACTATTGTTATCCCCATTTAAGAGATGAAGAAACTGAGGTCGGAGAGGTAATGGTAACTAGTAGCTCAAGATCTAAGCATAGGCAAAGCAATGCCGGAATCTGGAATCATAATAACTACAGTGGGTGAGGACTTTCTCTCGGATAGAGTTGCCAAATTTAGCAAATAAAACTACAGGACACTCCGTTAAACTTTAATTTCAAATCAACTATGAAGAATTTTTTTTAGTATAAGTAAGTTCCATGCAATATTTGGGACATATTTATACAAGTATCTATTCATTGCTGACCTGAAATTGAAATGTAACTGGATATCCTGTATTTTAACTGGAAACCCTTTTTTAGGCAGATGGAGGACTCAGAGGTCAAGTGGATACCATAGCTTTCGGGAGAAGCCAGTGTCCCTGGGAAGGTCTCTTCCCACAGCCAGATCTCTTCCTGGGAGGCAAGGGGATGGGTCCACCCATGCGTCTCTATCCCTTTATTCCCCCATAAGTTCTCAGGGGTTCTTGGGACCCACTACTCTGTTACGTATAGGCCTAAGCAGACAAGAGCAGAGGGAAGGCCTCAGGGGAAGCACAAATCCCCTCTCTCCTGTCCAAGGTTTAGTGCCCATCTCCCTTCCCCTAGCAACCTCTGGCATCCGCTTCTCCTTTCTCCCATCCTCCCCATGGATGGCCCCATCGATAGATTCTCTCTCCCTGAGATTGCACAGGAGTTGTTTAAGGAAGAGGGAAAAAATAGGGCAAGCCAAAGTGATAGAAATCTAGGGTCAGGGGTTTGGGGGTGGAGGCTGGGGGAGAGAGAGAGAGCGGGGAGAGATGGGAGATGGGAGAGAGCCGTCTAATTTTTTTTTTTTTGGAGACAGTCTCGCTCTGTTGCCCAGGCTGGAGAGCAATGGCACGATCTCAGCTCACTGCAACCTCCGCCTCCCCGGTTCAAGAGATTCTCCTGCCTCAGCCTCCTGAGTAGCTGGGATTACAGGCGTGCACCACCACACCCGGCTAATTTTTGTATTTTTAGTAGAGATGGGGTTTCACCATGTTGGTCAGGCTGGTCTCAAATTCCTGACCTCGTGATCCACCCGCCTCGGCCTCCCAAAGTGCTGGGATTACAGGCGTGAGCCACCGCGCCTGGCCCCTGGGGCCATCTAATTTTTAATAGACTGAGACATAAATGCAGCACGATTCACTTTGAACAGGCCACTTGGATTAGATGGAAGTTAATTAAAACAATCCCTCATTTCTCAGCCTTTAAAACTTCTTAAGTCTCACTTGGGGAAGGGTGCGGCAGGACTTTTTATTACTCTTAGATGGTGTTCAGAAGGCCCATAAATACATCTCCTCTTCCTGTGATCCCATTAATCTTGCCGCCTCTCCTGCTCCTCTCTGCCAACAATCAGATCCCAGTAAACAACCTCAAGTGAAATTTGCAACTGTCAGATAAACATTAAAAATGCTTCTCTTGTCCTTTCCCATTGATAGTCCCATTAATATTGTAATGGAACAAAAAGTTATGAAAATGAATGCATGCTGGTTTTGGAAATGAATGATGCCGACCGCTGCTGGGATATAGACACACATGCATATGGATGGGCTAGGAAGATCGCAGATGCTGCCCACATCAACAGGAGGCTGCGTGCCGACAGGACTAGCCACGTGCACGCCAGGGACCAAGGACACCCGCACACAAAGCTGGGTACACGTGTGCACACACATGTCAGGGTGGAGAGGCTTGTAAATGGAATAAAGGAATTTCACCCCAGAAAGGAATTCCACACTCACCACCTGGCTTTAAGCAGAGTAAAATATTGCAGGCTTTTCTATTTTATCATTACGTTTCTCTTCCCTTATCTATCTGCAGTCAGTGGCTGGGATTCTCTCTAAAGATACTAAGATACCCAGTTTGATCGGCTCCCTTGACATTTCTTCCTCATTTATTTTCCATGAAGAGACCTTTTGAATACACATGCATGCTTTCATGTGCGTGTTTATCTATCTGACGAATGAGCCCTTAAAATCTGAGGGTATAATACATAGGAACTTTATAAGAAAAAACTTCTTAAGGAGCATTTTGGGTCGAAGAGTCACATTTGATGCAGGAAATGAGTACAAGTGTATGTGTATTTAAGTTCAGTAGGAGAGTAGACAGTGAAACAAACAAACAAAAATACCCTTTAACTGAACTCTTTAGTAGAGGGATTTGAATAACCATCTCATCAAGGCCTTGCCTTAGTCTCCAGGTGGACAGGGAACACTTTGTATCTGCTTCTGATTGTAACCAGCCCTTGGCATAACATCTGGCACTTAGTAGAGGCTCAAGAAATGTGACGCTAGACACAGTGACTCACGCCTGTAATCCTAGCACTTTGGGAGGTCAAGGCAGGAGGACTGTTTGAGGCCAGGAGTTTGAGACCAGCCAGGGCAACATAGGGAGACCCCCATCTCTACAAAAAAAAAAAATTAAAAAAATTAAAAAATTAGCTGAGCATGGTGGTGTGTGCCTGTAGTCCCAACTATTCAGGAGCTGAGGGTAGGAGAATCTCTTGAGGCCAGGAGTTCAAGACTAACCTCAGCAACACAAGGAGACCCCATCTCAACAAAAAATAACTAAATAAATTAGCCAGGTGTGGTGGCATGCCTGTAGTGCTAGCTTCTCAGGAGGCTGAAGTGGGAGGATCACTTGAGCCCAGGAAGTCAGGGCTAGAATAAGCTATGATCTTACCACTGCACTCCAGCCTGGGTGACAGAGTAAGACCCCGTCTGGAAAAAAAACAAAACAAAACAAAAAAAAACATGACCTTGCCCATGCCTATGTCCTGAATGGTATTGCCTAGGTTTTCTTCTAGGGTTTTTATGGTTTTAGGTCTAACATTTAAGTCTTTAATCCATCTTGAATTAATTTTTGTATAAGGTGTAAGGAAAGGATCCAGTTTCAGCTTTCTACATATGGCTAGCCAGTTTTCCCAGCACCATTTGTTAAATAGGGAATCCTTTCCCAATTTCTTGGTTTTGTCAGGTTTGTCAAAGATCAGATAGTTGTAGATGTGTGGTATTATTTCTGAGGGCTCTGTTCTGTTCCATTGGTCTATATGGGATCTAGAACTAGAAATACCATTTGACCCAGCCATCCCATTACTGGGTATATACCCAAAGGAATATAAATCATGCTGCTAAAAAGACACATGCACACGTATGTTTACTGCGGCACTACTCACAATAGCAAAGACTTGAAACCAACCCAAATGTCCAACAATGATAGAGTGGATTAAGAAAATGTGGCACATATACAACATGGAATACTATGCAGCCATAAAAAATGATGAGTTCATGTCCTTTGTAGGGACATGGATGAAGCTGGAAACCATCATTCTCAGCAAACTATCGCAAGGACAAAAAACCAAAAATCGCATGTTCTCACTCATAGGTGGGAACTGAACAATGAGAACACTTGGACACAGGAAGGGGAGCATCACACACCGGGGCCTGTTGCGGGGTGGGTGGCGGGGGAGGGATAGCATTAGGAGAAATACCTAATGTAAATGATGAGTTAACGGGTACAGCACACCAACATGGCACATGTATACATATGTAACAAACCTGCATGTTGTGCACATGTACCCTAGAACTTATATATATAAATATATATAAAACATATATAAATATATATAATATATATATAAATATATATAATATATATATAAATATATATAAATATATATAAATACATATAAATATATATAAAATATATATATATATAAAAAAGAGAGTGAGAGAGGAAGGATATAAAATGAATACAGAATTACATTAAGTTCTTGCCTAGGAAAGAAGATATACACAAAACTTGAAAGAAAAGAAGGTGCAATCCTGTAACACGTAATTGGAAGCTGCAGGTTTCCCTGGAATCCACGTGATGGGGATATACAGGTAACAGACTTCATCACCAACCCTTTTGAATTGCGGAAGCATAAACATTATAGCAACCATCAAAAGATTTAGTGTATCCCAAAAAGGGCATGGACCTGGTGATAACTTCATTGTCAGTAACCTTAGCTAACTGGATGTCATTGCCTTCCAAGAGATACATTGTTCAACTACAGGAAAATTTACAATTAAATAGAGACACATTTAAGGGAATCAAAACTATATTTTTGCATTAATGAATCTGTAAAATTTTGTTTTGTTTTGAGATGGAGTTTCACCCTTGTCCCTGAGGCTGGAGTGCAATGGCGTGATCTCGGCTCACTGCAACCTCTGCCTCCTGGGTTCAAACGATTCTCCTGCCTCAGCCTACTGAGTAGCTGGGATTACAGGCACATGCCAGTGTGCCTAGCTAATCTTTGTATTTGTAGTAGAGATGGGGTTTCACCATGTTGGCCAGGCTGGTCTTGAACTCCTGACCTCAAGTGATCCGCCCACCTCAGCCTCCCAAAGTGCTAGGATTACAGGCATGAGCCACTGCACCCAGCCTGAATCTGTAAAATTTTGAAGTGCTACATACTTGGAAAGTTTAAAGGATTTTGGCCTTTAAGAGTAATAGCTTTCAACTCTAATTTGCAATGTGAAATTAAAGAATTAAGATTTGGGATTTTACATTGTATGGTGTTGGAACATTTAAGAGAACTTTATGCTCACTTTATTACTTTAATTTCATAAATTTTTGATAATTATTTCAGTACTTGAAAAGGTTTTATTTATTAAGTCAGGATATCAAAGTACTTAAGGAAATAAAATATGTTACATTTATAAATAGAGTTTAAAATACCTGAAAGTATTTAATGAGCTGAATTTTTAAGTGGGACAAAATAGAATTCAAGGGCTCCTTAAAATCATTGCTAAAATGAGGGTAACAAGATTTATCAACTGACTTACAAATAGAATAATGTAAGCTGATCTTAAAAGCCTACCAAAAGATTCCAACACGTTATGACATGGATGAACACTGAGGACATTACATTAAGTGAAATAAGCCAGTCACAAAAAGACAAAGACTGGATGATTCCACTTCAATGACATCTCTAAGGTAGTCAGATTCATAGAGGCAGAAAGTAGAATGGTGGTTAGCAGAAGCTGGAGGGAAGAAGAACTGGGAGTTGAATGGGTCGGGGTTGCAGTTGAGTGGGTGCAGGGTTGCAGTTTTGCAAAATAAAAAAGTGCTGGTGTTTTGCTGCACGACGATGTGAATATGCTTAACACTACTGAACTGCACACTTGAAAATGGTTAGGATGGTAAATGGATTGTGTGGGCGTTTTTTTAAGGACAATTTTTTTAATGAAAAAAATCCTACAAAAAATTATAACTTTTAAAGTACAATGTTGGTTTATGGCACATTAATACTGAAAACCCTAAATAACTATTTCCTGCATTAAAAAACCACCCTCAAAAACATAAAAAGCCTCACACCAACCATCTATACGGTGGGGCTAAGCAGGCATGGCTGTGGGATCACTACGAGGATGAACGGGGACAGAAGTGAGAACACAGCTCCTCTGCAGTGTCTGCCTCAGACGAGGTGCCCAGCAGAGGTAGCCCCTATTCGTCCTCTTCCTAGGAGGAGCTCTTCCAGGAAGGGTTGGGAAACACACATGAATGCACCCTTGGGTAACACACATGAATCTCCCAGACGTCTACAGAGAAGTCTTCCCACTTGCCCCAGTGACTAGCCAAGCCTGGGTGGCCAGCGAGGTTTTGTGGAGCAAACTCCCCTAGTCCCCAGATCTGAACGGTGCGTCCCTGCACAGCAGCTAAGGAGAGGAAAGAAGCAAGGGGCACGGCCACCGCTCAGACGCCGAACTGGATGCCAGAATGGAGAGGTGAAGTCAGGCTGCCTAGGGAGGCTGATTCTACTGTGTACGGTACTGTGCATGGGGAGACGTGGAAAATGCTGGGCTGCAGGGAGAGGAAAAAGAATTAGCACTAAGAAGGAAGCAGAGAGAGAGAGAGAGAGAGAGAGTGAGTGTGTGTGTGTGTGTGTGTGTGTGTGTGTGTGTGTGTGTGTGTGTAGAATCTCTAGAGAACATGGCTGCTTTGATTCCCATCAGCATTCTACTTGCCAGCTCCAGTATCTCAGAAGGTCCAGCTGCACTCCCTGCTGTTGGTTCATTAGTTCATTCCACAAATATTTATTGAGGACCCACTACGTGCCGGGCAGTGTACTGGATGAGGGAGACAAAGTAGCAGACACAAAGAGACAAGGTTGCCATCACATGAGGTTATGTTCCAATGTGTAAGACAGACCACTGATAGGTACAAAATAAATGGACTAGGTCATTTTAGATCATGAGAAGTGATAAAAAGAAAAGAAACAGGGAAATGTGATGGTGAGTAATCAGAGGCGGGCATGAGGATGGCCTGCATTGGATAGGGGTTAGGGTACTCACTGAAAAGAAGACAATTTTTCCTGGGACATTAGCGGTAAGAATGAGTCAGTTATGTCAAGAGCTGGCAGGAAAAGTCTTCTAGGCAAAGCAAACAGTAAATGCAAAGGCTCTGTGGCAGAAAAGGGCTTAGGTGTTGTGAAATTGCATTGTATTCTCTCAGGGCTCTCTCTCTCTCAAGAAAATTTGAGTGAGTTTCTGTTGCTTGTTGCCGAATGAGGGCCTAAAAACACAATTGCTAAATGAACAAACAAGGGTTGCATTTAGTTTTCTATCAGCTTCATCCCTTCCTGGTCTTCAGCCTTCTGGACCCTATTTGTGTGCACTTTCCAATCACCCACCATAGCTCTTCCTTTGTGAGGTACCTTAGTAATCACAACTCTTTCAGTTGCAAATGACAGAAATCCAACTCAAGCAGTTCAAGCCCAAAGGAAATTTATTGGCTTATCGACAAAGCATTCAGGCACAGCTGGATCCGGGACTGTAGCCTCATCGTCAGCATTCTGCCCATCCATTTTCAAATCTTTCCTCTGGTTTCCCTGTGTTGACTGTATTTTTACAGCTGACTTTCCCCACGTTGTGGCAAAAATGGCCACCGGGAGTTCAGGTTTACATTAAACCAGCACAGCAACCACTGGGGCAAGAGAGGTTCTTACAAACCAAACTAAACCAAATGAAAATGAGTTTCCTTGGATGAACTTGAGTCATGTGCCCACCCTTGAGCCAGTCACTGTGATAGGCAAGATGAAATATTCTGATTACCAATTGTGGTTTATTCATGTCTCCTTCCTCTGGAGCTGGGGTCGGGGGTGGGGGTGGTTTTCCAGAGGAAAATCAGGGTGTTGTTACCAGAATAATGGAGGAAGTATTCAGGAAAGCAACTGTAACCAATCCCATGACAACACTCGTCTCTGTCTCTCTTGTACTCATCCTTTATAACACTGGATTCATCAGAGCTGTCATCCTTGTAGCTTTTAGGTAGCTCCTAGTATTCTTCCCCTGTAGCATCCTCTTCAGCTTCCCCATATGAAAGAGAAAATGAAGAGGTGCATTTGTTGGGAAGCGCATTTGAAGGGAAACACCTACAAAATGCCTCCAGGGTTGGCAGCACCCATTCTCAGATGGCAGGCTGTTTGTTCACCACCGTCACTATTAAGGCAAAACAACCAATACTCTGAGAATATGTGGTGATCTTCCAAGGCCAACTGAGCAAGTATTTCCATAGCCATAACTTTTAATTTGTAAATATATATTAATTGCCTATTTGAAAAACTAGACAAATAAATTACTGGAATCCAGAGAAAGGAAGTGCTCTCTACCCAAACATGTTGGGACATAGAGGGAGGGAGATGCATCCGGGTAGTTCTAGCAGGAATCAGGAAATTATGACTGACTGTCTGGCTAACATCTGATATGTGCCAGTTACTATTCTAAGTGCTTTACGTAAAGTAATCTACTTACTCCTATGACAACACTTTGAGTATTATTATCCTCATTTCACAGGTGAGAAAAACATAGTCTCAGAGTGGTTAAGGGATTTGCCCAGGTTACATGGCTTATAAGTGTCAGGACAACCTGGCTACAGAATCCACACCCTCTTGCCTCCTTGGCTGGACCATTCCTTTATTCTCTCTTTGATGCTGAAAGTAAAGCTCAGAGAGATTAAGTGACTTGACCAGGCTACACAGCTGACAAGTGAAAGAGCTAAGACTTCAACCCGGGTCCCCCTGTGCTAAGCTCTTGGCAGGAATGTAAACCCAGGAGTTTGGGGTACCTCAGCCATAAATATGCCTTCTTTCCACTCATTCGTGATTTGCAAGTCACCCTCCTCCACTCAAAAATCTACATTTTGCCACTAAGGTCCAGTCGTGACTGATTTTCGGAATCCATAGCGACAAAAGAAAACCATGTTACTATTTAGTGCAGTGATTCTCAATAATGGCTACATTTAGAATCACCTGGGTGTTTTTTAAAATATGGATGCCAAAGCTCCATCTCAGACCAACAAATCAGAATATTTGGAGGATATCAGTATTTTATAAAAGATACCCAGGTGAATTAAATGTATGATCAAGGTTGAGAACCACTGATTTAACTAATTCCAAACACACACTCAGAGAATGCTGCCAAATGTTTATTCCCTTTCCCCATTAGCTTGTCTTTCATCTCACACAAACTCTACCTTAGATGGGCCCCTGGGTGTCTCTTATTCCTGGCTCCTGTCTTTGTTCCCTTGTCTTATCCACTCCACCCCATCACTTCCCACCAGAGTTCCTTGCTCCATCTGGAAGGCGAAAGTGGAACCTCACAACAGGAGATGAATTTGCCTTTTACAGTCTTCAGTGTGAATCAACTATAAGACAGAGCGTTTGCCTTTTAGAGTCTTCAGTGTGAATCAACTATAAGACAGAGCTTTCTCTTGCTAATACTCACAAGTGAGGATGGGATGAATGCTAATACTCACAGGGATGAAGAGGTACAGGAGAAGAGAACATCATCCTGCTACAATTACAAACTGAAAAGTGCTACGAAGGGAAAGTGGAGAGCAACACATGCAATGACAAGTCCAGCCGGGGCCGAAAGACCTTCAGTGCCTCCTCTGGGTTCATATTCCTAACTATTAAACCAGACTGCAACAACACCTAGTCACATGTCTTCACTTGATGGATGCAAACGAAACCACTGAAAATGTCACCAGCTCCTTTCTTCTGCCCCATCCTTCGCAAGCACTTTGCCATGTGCTGGTGCTGGTTTTCTTCAATGTGGAGATGCTTTCATACTATCTGTAAAAGGCTATGATGTGGGCAGAAAGTTTTAGAACACAGTCATCTTTTTATTTTATTTTATTTTATTATTATTATACTTTAAGTTTTAGGGTACATGTGCACAACGTGCAGGTTTGTTACATACGTATACATGTGCCATGTTGGTGTGCTGCACCCATTAACTCGTCATTTAGCATTAGGTATATCTCCTAATGCTATCCCTCCCCCCTCCCCCCGCCCCACGACACACCCCGGTGTGTGATGTTCCCCTTCCTGTGTCCATGAGAACACAGTCATCTTTAAGATAAAGTAGGCAAGGGTGGGGACACTTGAGAGAGCTGCAGAAGCATGATTCATAATTCCACAGGCATTTTCTGACCGTCTACTTGGAGTCAGATACTATGATGGAAGAAAGAGGCTAAATCTGTGCCCTAAAACGTATCATATAGAGGAAGAATTCTCGAATACTGTCTTAGGGGCTGCTGTGAGGGTCTTCCAGACAGACTCGTCCTTTGAAGTGGCAAGGACTATAAAACAATAGTACCACACTTCTGTTTCTGCAATGGATGATAAAGGAAAACACTGTTTTTCTACACTGTCAACACTTCTGACACCAAATGTATGAGTTATCTACACCAAGCAATTCTCCAGTTCTTTGCAGACACCAACTGGGTATCCTACAATTTAACTCTATTCTTACACTAACTACCTGGAGTTAGCACAGACCTCACAGGCAAGGGCTCAGTCCCACAAGACTGCCTCCACTTCAAAGGCTAATTGCAAGCAGCAAGTCTTCAGGGTTCCCACACTTCTGCCTAAGTTGAATATAAATCAGGGGTTCCCATGATCCTCTCCTCACATTTGATAATTTGCTGTAACAGCTCACAGGATTCAGGGAAACACTACTTAGTACCAGTTTAGTATAAAGGATACAACTCAGGAACAGCCTAATGGAAGAGATGCATAGGGCAAGGCATGGGGAAGGGGCACAGAGCTTCCATGCCCTCTCCAGGCATGCCATCCTCCCAGCATCTCACTTCAGCAACATGGAAGTTCTCTGAACCCCATTATTCAGGGTTTTTATGGAGGCCTTATTATATAGGAATGATTGATTAAATCATTGATAATTGGTGATTATCAATCTTCAGCCCCTCTCTTCTCCCTGGAGGTCAACGGAGTGGACCTGAAAGTTCCAGCCCTTTAATCACACGGTTGGTTCCCCTGGCAACCAGTCCTCATCCTCCAACACAGTCACCTCATTAGCATAAACTCAACATGATTGAAAGGGTCTTATTATGAAAACAAAAGACATTCCTCTTACCTCTATCACTTAGGAACTCTGCACCAGGAACCAGAGACAAAGACAGAAATATATATTTCTTATTATAGCACAGTAGCACAGATGATAACAAGACATTTCATATGAGGCAGTGTCTTTCTTCCCAGCTTTCCTTTTATATTCCCTTAGCAGTAACTGGAAATTTGGATAGAGTAGACAGATGGGTCATGTAATCTCTTGTCAACTGAAGCAATGTGGACCCTGAAGTTTAAGAGACATTTCTGCATTAGAGCCCAAGTTGAGGCCCTCAAAAGTCCTCATGGAAACTACAATGCTTTCTGCCACATTGCAAGTTTCTCACTTCCAGTCCCTGAAGAAGCAGAGCTAGAGATGTGGGGCTAACTATGGACAGCTTTAGGAAGTCATGAGGTTAAAGAGCATTCATGTAGCAATTGTTCATAGAGGGGGTTCTAAGCTTCACAACAACTCTCCAAAGTCAGTGGTGATCATTATACCCATTTTACAGATGACAAAAGTAGGTTCAGTGACTTAGATGACCACAATGAATTAACTTATATGCAACTTATCCTCTTGCCAAAAACCAGTTAAAAAATTAAAAATATATGAAATAGCTAATTTCAGGCTTTAGATAACACACTCACAGGAATGAGAAAGAAAACAATCACTCCAGTTTTCTGCTTGGATTTATTTTCCAGATCGTAGTGCAGAGACAGAGTATCCAAGCAAAAAAGAACAATATTGCTGAATTCAGGAAACTGAGATTTGAGTTTAAGGAGGCTGAGGTGGCTGGAATTTGAAGGGCAGAGTATCAAAGATAAGGGAATATGCAGAGAAAGAACTCCAGAAATATGCTTTAGAGTCCTCCTTGAGACTGTTCATCACATAGTACAGGGAGTTGTCAATTCCCAGCTAGCCAGAACAGGGAGACCTCAGTGTCTCCCTAAAGACCCTATGGGGTAATCCCTTAATAATATGGGTAAACCAGTCTCAAGTAAAGGCTACTCTACACCCATCCTAACAAAGCTTAAAAAGAAGCCTAAAAAGGATCAAGTTGATTCAAAGAAACGTGACAATCAACTAAAACAAACTTTTTTTCTCTTTAAAGGAAGACAACAAAATCTAGACATTCAATAATGTAACATCGAAAATGCCTAGCACCCATCCAAAAATTACAAGACATTCAATGAAGCAAGAATGAGACCAATAACCGGAAGGAGAGAAAAAGTCAAGAGAAAGAGACAAAGAAATGAAGAAACAAACCATTAACAGACAAAACCTTTAACGTTTAAACAGCTAAAAACATATATTATAAATATCCTCAAATATTTAAAGGAAAACATGAATATAATGAGAAGAGAAATGAAAGATATGAAAAAGAATTAAATGGAACATTTAGAACTAAAAAATATAATATTTGAAATAAAAAATCTATTGAATGGCTTTTTAGCATATTAGACACTGAAAAATAAAAAATTGAAAATATATAGCAATTAAGTAATTAAACATATAGCATTAGAAACTACACAAATTGAAGCAGATAAAGAATAAAGGTTCTAGAGACTTCTGGTTCTAAAATGGCAGTGTAGACACAGGCTGACTTCACTCCCCACAACAGAAAAACCGAAACAAATATACAGTGCTGAGATTATTACCAGCAATATCCCAGAATTATGAGTCATTTCTGGGGGGCTACAGAGAAGTGAAAAAAAAACTCAGAGCAGACTGTAAGAGAATGGAATTTTCCATATCTTGATGCCCCTCCCCACATTCTGTGTGGCACTAAGCCTGTGAAAAATCTTCCCCAAATCATGGTTTCTACATTGGAAACGTGAGGGGAAGGTGGCAACCAGCTTCCTTACCATCCTGAGTTTCCTGGCAAAAGGCTTATTCATGCCTCAACCCACAGGAGGCATCATGAGTGGCTCAGAGACAAAGCAGGGAGGCAGGATTAACATCCCCAACCCTGGAAACTGTGCTCTGTAACTCAGTCAAAAAAGATACTAAATCAGAGTAGCTGTTCTGCGGCATCATGTTGTAGGAGGTATGTTTCACATGTCTCCTGGGCGTGAACTCAGGAGGCAGGCAGATCACCTGAGGTCAGGAGTTCAAGACCAGCCTGGTCAACATGGTAAAACCCCATCTCTACTAAAAAATACAAAAATTTGCCGGGTATGGTGATGTGTGCCTGTAATCCCAGCTATGCCGTAGCCTGAGGCAGAAGAATCACTTGAACTCAGGAGGCAGAGGTTGCAGTAAGCCAAGATCATGCTACTGCACTCCAGCCTAAGCGACAGAGTGAGACTCCATTTCGAAAAATAAATAAGTAAATAAATTTAAGAATTAAAAAAGAATAAAAGTCCTAATATACATTTTATATATAATATATATATACACACACACACATACACATACAGAGTTTAATGATCTGTGGGAAAATACCAGCTACAGTCTAATATGCAAATACTTGAAATCCCAGAAATTGGGAGGGGAAAACATATTTGAAGAAAATTTCCAAATGTGATGGAAATTATATGCCCACAAATCCAAGAAGCTAAGTAAACCCCAAGTGGGGCAAACACAATGAACAGCACAATGAATAGCACTAAAGCACATTATAATCAAATATCTGAAAATCAGGAGTAAAGAGAAAAATGTTAAAAGCAGCCAGACAAAAAAGATCTATTACATACAGGAGGACAAAGATAAGAATGATGATAGACTTCCTGTTTAAAACACTGCAAGTCAGAAGACAATGGTGTGACATATTTAAGTGCTGAAAGAAAACAAAAATTGCCAGCCTAGAGTTCAAATTCTACATCCAGTGAAAATAGCTTTCAAAAACAAAGAACAAATAAAGATTTTTTTCAGCCAAACAAAGCTTACCTACACTGCAAGGACAGTCAAAGGAATTTTACAGGCTAAAGGAAAATGATACCAGAAGGAAACTCAGAACTATAGAGAGAAATTGAAGATTGCTGGAAATGGTAGGTATTTAGGTAAATATAAAGCTGTTTTATTTATTTAATAGACAATTAATGGTTTACAGGAAGAATAATTCCTGCTTGGAAAATGAAGAGAGGAGGAAATATTGCAAGCACGGGCAATTTAACCATCTCTTTTATTTCTGTCATATTACTTTCTGCTTATCGTAGCCTACTGGGTAGTACCCTTCTTTGCTCCTACCTACCCACCACAGATGTGATCAATAAATAATCTTCCTGAAGCTCAGCCCTCACTATGACACTCCAACCCCAAGCAGTATTCAATCTTTACAACCTTCCCATTATATATGTGGTAAAGTCTATAGTCCCTAACCCAGCATTCTAAGCCTACTGTAATCTGGACTAAACCCACCCACTGGACGGACACAGTGGCTCACGCCTATAATCCCAGCACTTTGGGAGACTGAGTCAGGTGGATCACTTGAGCCCAGGAGGTAGAGACCAACCTAGGCAACATGGCAAAACCCCGTCTCTAAAAAAAACTTAGCCAGGTATGGTGGTGCACACCTGTGGTCCCAGCTACTCAGGAGGCTGAGGTGGGAAGATCACTTGAGCCTGAGAGGTTGAGGTTTCAGTGAGCCAAGATCACACCACTGCACTTCAGCCTGGGTGACAGAGCAATACTCTATCTCAAAAAACAAAACCAAAAACTTGCCCACCCTTATCTACTGCCTCTACCATGCACAAATAATGTGAGTCTTCTTACCTCCTCCTAGATTCTTTTTTTTTTTTTAATTTGAGATGGAGTCTTGCCCTGTCACCCAGGCTGGAGTGCAATGGCGTGATCTCTGCTCACTGCAACCTCCACTACCCGGGTTCAAGCAATTCTCCTGTCTCGGCCTCCCGAGTAGCTGGGATTACAGGTGGGTGCTACCACACCCAGCTAATTTTTTGTATCTTTAGTAGAGACAGGATTTCTCCATGTTGGTCAGGCTGGTCTCAAACCCCTGACTTCATGATCTGCCTGCCTCAGCCTCCCAAAATGCTGGGATTATAGGTGTGAGCCACCACACCTGGCCCTAGATTCTTATCTCTAAGCCTCTACTCACTTTCCTTTCTCCCTGCTATGTCCTGCTCCTCCCCACTCCCCACCCTCACCCCACACACTTTTTTCTGTCTTTTCTCGCCTTTAAGACCAGGCTGAAGTCTGACATCCCTCCTTGTTCACATTCCCAAGGCCATGATTATCTACAGAAAGACCATGGGCTCTGGAGTCAGATGAACCTGAATTCCAGTCCGGCCTCCACCACCAAATAGGTAAGAGACCTTGAGGACTAGCTTAATTTCAATTTCCCCATCTTTGAAATGGGGAGGGGTGAAGGGATAATTGTCTTAGGTTATTGCATTGTTGTTAGGATTAAAATGAAATAATGGCTGTTAAGTGACAAATACTTGTATTAAGACACCTAATTGTTAACTCACAGCCCACCCTTTTCTTTTAAAACCTGAGATTCAGAAATGAAGATAATATTCTAGGAACTGCATAGGAGATCAAATGACCCTCACTTTCTTCATCTAGGACACTGTTTCTGTTAGTGCAGGTTAAGATCTTAATGGCTTCATATTGCAGCAGCCCCTAAATGTTTTTCACATAAGGTTTTGCTAAATTGTATCTTCTCTGGTTCTACCTGCTCAGTTGATTTTGTTGAAGCTGAGAACTAATTTGTCCCCAAGTTCACCTCATACACAGAGTTCCCTCTTGTGTGCCTATCCCTCACCTCTGAGGAAAGGGGCTGCCTGCCTGATTCAGGGAGCTCATCCCCAGGTGGAGAAGTCACTGCTTTGTCTGGATGCAGTTGAAGGTTTTTGCCAAAAGCCTCTGCTGTTCCGAAATGACCACTATCTGCCTATAGCTCTAACCAGCAGAGATGTGGGTGTTGGTTGAGATACTAGGTCTTCAGTCTGCTTTTCAGATGTAGAGTTTTGAATTTAGATATGGAAAGAAACATGGGAAGTAATCTAGCTCAACCTCATTTTACAGATGATGAAACTGACACCAGACAAGTGCATTGTCCAGGCAGTGGAATTTCTGATTCCAGGTAAGTGGTCTTCTCACTAAGTCAGGAATGGCCCAAAAAGTTTACTCCAGACTACAGGGTGATCTGTGTTGTTCACCACTATATCTCCGGTGCCTGGCACCAAGGTTGTCACTAGTAATCACTCCCCAAACATTTACTGAGTGAATGAATGAATCTTGAAGTACTAACACTAATCAATTAGCGTCCAGAACTTTGAGGCCACTCACAGGCTTAACAGAAAGCTTGTGAGACCTCTTAGTGATGTCTGCCATGAGTGTGGCAGGGGAAAGGAGTAGAACCCCTAAAGTAAACTCTGCAGCTTCTCATATGTAATGGTAGACTCAGGGAGCCACTGATACCTTAGTAAGAATTAGTTTACAAGCCATAGAGAATTTATGTACATCCCAAGGGTCTAAGAAAAAAGTAGATAGGACTCTGAAATTATTGGCCCAGGAAAAAGACTCACAGGTTTGGGATCTAGATGTTCAAGCAATAGGGTCAGGGGTGCAGGACACACTGTCCAAGGCAAGCTTGGATCAAGGTTGGCACTCACTCAAGACATGCCAGGCACCTCACACTCTCTTTCCAATTATCTGTAAAGAACAGACAACAACCTAAAGTACATTTTCTGCTTTTTTAAAAGAAGAGACAGGGTCTGACTCTGTGGGCCAGGTTGTAGTGCAGGGACACAATCATAGCTCACTGTAGCCTTGACCTCCTGGGCTCAAGCAATCCTCCTGCCTCAGCCTCCTGAGTGGCTGGGACCACAGGCACATGCCATCATACCTGGCTAATTTTTCATTTTTTGTAGAGATGTGGTCTCACTATGGTGCCCAGACTGGTCTCAAACTCCTGGCCTCAAGTGAACCTCCTGCCTCGGACTCCCAGAGTGCTGGGATAACAGGCGTGAGCCCCCATGTCCAGTTGTTTGCTGCATTTTAATAGGGATCAAAACCTAAGCTAAAGAAGCACCAGTCAGCAAGTAAAGGAGTTTCAGACCCAGTGAAGCCTTTGCAGGTGTATTCGTTTCCTAGGGCTCCTGTAACAAAGTACCACAAACCAAGTGGCTTAAAATGACAGCAATGTATCCTCTCACACTTCCAGAAGCTAGAAGTCCAAAATCAAGGTGTCAGTAGGGCTATGCTCTTTGAACTCTCTAGTAAGGGAGCCTTCTCTTATCTCTTCCAGCTTCTTGTAGCCCCAGGCATTCCTTGGCTTGGCTTGTAGCATCATCACTCCAATCTCTGCCTCCCTCTTCACATGGTTGTCTTCCCTCTGTTGCCCAGGCTGGAGTGCAGTGGCACGATCTTGGCTTACTGTAACCTCTGCCTCCCGGGTTCAAGCAATTCTTCTGCCTCAGTCTCCCGAGTAGCTGGGATTACAGGCACCCACCACCACACCTGGGTAATTTCTTGTATTTTTAGTAGAGACGGGGTTTCACCATATTGGCCAGGCTGGTCTTGAATTCCCGACCTCAGGTGATCTGCTCATCTCAGCCTCCCAAAATGCTGGGATTACAGGCATAAGCCACCGAGCCCGGCCTTTTCTCCTCTTCTTATAAGGACACCAGTCATACTGGATTAGGGCCACTCTAATTCAGTATGACTTTAACTTGATTACACCTGCAAAGACCCTGTTTTCAGATAAAGTCACACAGGTACCAGGGGTTAGGACTTCAGCATATCTTTTTGGAAGAACACAATTCAACCCACAACAGCAGGAATTCTCATCCCCAAGACAACTTGGAAGATGAGGAGAGAGGCACTCGTCACTGGGGTGAGGCCAGCTCTGGAAACCTCAACCTGGCAAGAGCTGTGCTGCCACGTCGGCTGCTCCCTCCTCCCTTCTTCTCCACATGAAGGTCCTTTCCAATGGGTCCCATGCCAGGATGTCACAGTTCTTCTCTAGAACCGATGGCATTGTGATCAGATAGAGGTGACTCCTGGTCTCAAAGTTTTCTCCCAACCGTACAAGCCAATTGCGGGGACACTGGCTTCCAGAGTTGGGAGAAAAGGCTCACGGTCATTACCAACCTCACTGACATGGGAGTCGGGGCCTGGTGGGAATCCTGGAGCCACGGCTCTCAAGCTGTGAAGCCTGGGACAAGTGACCAAACATCTCTGAGCCTCAGCTTCCTCCTCTGGAAAGAGGACCTCACAGAGATAGGTGTGGTTTTTGTCCTTAATAGTGTCAAGTTGAGGCCCTGGAACCATCTACCTGCTTCTTCTGAGCCAAATAAAGAGAGCCCAGAAATGCAAAAGACCTCAGAGGTGATGGGCCCAGGTTCATCCCCCACCACCAGGAAAAAAAAAAAAGGAAGACAAATAAAATGGCCATTTTAACTTATATCCTCTGCATTAATTTTCACAGTTAACTGCTGAACTGACTAAATTCTTTTCTTTTCTTAAGGACCTTTATAAATTCTATCATTAATAAAATCAGACATTCAATTAGAAGGAAACTCTGATTGGTAACTGATCATTTCCTCAATACCTTTCTCTCCCTCTCATTCTCTGCAAAATCCCTGGATTTTCCCGGACTTTTCCCTGCCGGTGCTCCATTTCCCATTTGTCCCTCTTCTTCCTCCAACGCCTGTCAGCACCCCCAACAAAAGCCAGAGAAGAACAGGGGCTGATTCCATTAACCTCTGTCAATGCTTAAATCTCTCTCTTAATTAACATGAGTTAATATGATTAATCAAAATAATGAGACAAACCTATTAAATTAGGGGACTCAAATGACAGAACTCAGCAGGAGTGGTAAAGGCAGGAGGAGGTGATCAGAAAGGCCAGGTTGGGGGTGGCAAGTGCAGAGGTGAGGAGGGCAGGGCTTTGGGCAGCCAGCCCAGTCCAGCCCAGCCCAGCTCTGGGCTGGTGGAAGATGTGGGCAGTAGCCTGGATAAACTGCCTCTGAGGAGGTGTTCAGTGTTTGTGCCACTCTTGTCTAGTTACAACCAGTCCTTGCACTTTTCTGGGGCCTGCCCAGCTCCTTTCTAGGCACCCCCAGGTTCTGAATTATTAATTTTTTTTAGAGAAGAGGTCTCTCTAGGTTGCACAGGCTATTCTTGAACTCCTGGGCTCAAGCAATCCTCCCATACAGCTGGGATTGCTGGCACACACCACAGTACCCAGCCCTCTCCTATGTTGCCCACGCAGATCTCAAACTCCTGGGCTCAAGCAATCCTCCTGCCTTGGCTTCCTGAGTAGCTAGGATTATAGGCACACACCCCTACACCTAGCTTTGAATTCTTTTTTTTTTTTTTTTACCCTTCTAAGACAGGGTCTCACTCTGTAGCCCAGGCTGGAGTGCAGTGGTGTGATGATAGCTCACTGCACCCTCAAACTCCCAGGCTCAGGTGACCCTCCCAACTCAGCCTCCCAAGTAGCTAGGACTATAGGCATGCGCCACCATGTCCAGCTAATTTTTGAATTTTTTTTGTAGAAATGGGTTTCACCATGTTGCCCAGACTGGTCTGGAACTCCTGACCTCAAGTGATCCACCCACCTCGGTCTCCCAAAGTGCTGGGATTATAGGTGTAAGCTACCGCACCCTGCCTCAGGCAGCCTTCGAATTCTTGATATCGCTGCCTGGGTGATCTCTATCTCCAATGGCTATATCGTCTCCCTCTTGAAGCCAGGCTCTTGGAAATAGCCGCATGTCCTAAAGCAGAATGACTCAAACCCCAGCTCTGACCCCTCACAGGATATGAAACCTGGAGAGAATTATTTTACCTTTGAGGCTCAGTGGACCCACCTGCAGGAATGGGAATAATCATCCTGAGTTTGAATAACTGCTGGAAGAATTCAGAGAAACACTCTGTAGGAATACCTGCCCCAGCACCACGGTGGATCCCCAGGAAATGTTCCTTCCTTCCTTCTTCCCCCGATATGACTAGGCTAACACCTTAAGATTCCACAGTGCTTTTTATTTCTAAGCATTTCCATATATATATCATTCCACCGAAACTCTTAGATAAGCAGACAGACATTATTTACAGATCAGTGAGGTTTTGCAAACATAACTGAGCACCTATTGTGTGTTGGCCACTGAGCAAAATCACCGAGATCCCACAAAGGTGAAGTGGCTTATCCGGGGTCTCTTCCAGACAGACCCGGGTCTCCTAACTCCTAGGACAATGGGATTTCCATTGCCTCAACCCCAAGTAACCAGGAACTCCCATGGTGCCCCGGGGCTCCTTATTTTCACCCTGGATTATTCTCAAGCTGTGGTAGCTTCCACCACATGCAAGTGGTTCCCTCGCCTCCAGCGGCTGAGTTGCTCAATCGGAAGTCCATTCAAAGGAGTACAATGTCTCCCCAACGCAGGACATCTGACATCTCACAGATGACCTGGGCTCATCCTCAGAATTTTGAATTCTAGGAAATCTAGGCCCTTGGAGCCTCTTCTGTGCTACTTCAAATGCTCCCCAGGCAGCAGGGTGGCCCACAGTTACACACCTCTGCAGGCACAGTGCTCAGGTGGAGAAGCTCTTAGGAAAATCCCTGGGGAGAATCCTATTCTGGGCCTGGGACCACCTGACACCGCTATGGAATGATTTTCTCTTTTCACTAGAAGCAGATAAGAGTCACACTAAGATCTAAGGGTACCTTCCCAGAGATGGGCTGAATATTGGCAACGAAGGAGAAAGCGTATCTAAACATCTCCTGCTAAAAGCCCCACTTTCTTTAGATTCATGTTCACATCTTTTTATGTTTCTGTAAAAGAATAAATAGAATCATGCCCCTCATGTCCCAAACGAGGTAAGAGGAGTGACTGGATGACACCACAAGCTCCCAACCCTGTCCTGCCCCTCCCCCACACACAGAGGGTCAGAGCAACCACTCCCCACCTTCCTCTCCAGCCCTAACACTGAGTGGTTTCCCGGTTGTTCTTGAAGAGCTTGGCTGTGCAAAAAACTTTTCCGCATGTACCCATCACTGAATGAGCCAGTCCAGCTCCCGACCCAGGACCCCCCTTCAGACAGCTCAACAACCCACCTTCAGACACAGGGCTGCAGACCGTCATTCCTGAGCAGCAACCCTTGGCATTGCACCTCAAAGGGAACAGAGAGGGAGTGGGTGAGACCCCGGAACTCGTTTTGTCTCCTGGCGTCCTGTGATATCCACTTCACGATGAGGAAAATGATAACGACAATAATATGTAACAAAAACAGCAATAGCAGCCAGGCACAGTGGCTCACACCTGTAATCTCAGTACTTTGGGAGGCCGAGGTGGGAGGGTCACTTGAGGTCGGGATTTCGACACCAGCCTGGCCGACATGGTGAAACCCCATCTCTACTCAAAATACAAAAAATTAGCCTGGTGTGGTGGTGGGCATTGGTAATCCCAGCTAATCGGAAGGCTGAGGCAGGAGAATCACTTGACCCTGGGAGGCAGAGATTGCAGTGAGCAGAGATCACACCACTGCACTCCAGCCTGGGCAACAGAGCAAGACTCCATCTCAAAAACAAAAAAACAGCAATAGCTATTTGTATTGTATATGTACTGCTATTTAATATATAGCAATAGCTATATATATCTATTAATATGTAGCAATAGCTATATATATATCTATATATATATAGATAGATAGATAGATATATAGCTCTGTTGCCCAGGCTGGAGTGCAGTGGTGCGATCTCGGCTCACTGCAACCTCTGCCTCTCCTGCCTCAGCCTCCTGAGTAGCTGGAATTACAGGTGCCTCACACCATGCCCGGCTAATTTTTTTATTTTTAGTAAAGACAGGGTTTTGCCATGCTGGCCCAGCTGATCTCGAACTCCTGACCTCAAGTCATCCAGCCACCTTGGCCTCCCAAAGTGCTGGGATTACAGGCATGAGCCACCACACCCAGCCTCCCACTTTTCGGAATTGGATCCATCAACTCTCCTGTTTCTCCTCTTTGTCCATTTTGTGTCTTTAATCTCTTTCTCTTCTCTGGAATCTCCCCCCTTAACCCTGAGTATCCATCATCCCTAAAATAAAATCCACAGCTGCGTGTAACAAAAAACCCAACCAAAATGCTTTAAACAATCGTAAACTGTATTATCTCTCATTAGTGAGAAGCCTGGGTCTCAGGCAGTCTCCAGTGGCTGTCAGGAGCAGGGTCAGCACTCTGTCCTCACATGGCTTCCCTCGTGATGGTTATACGGTGGCCAGCAGCATCACGGCCACACATTTCCTTATTCAGAAAAACTGTTCCCTCGATCAGTCTGATTGGACCATGAAGTCAAGTGCCCATTCCTGGACAATAAATCAGTGGCCAGGGGAACACCCCGCACTGATGGACCTAAGCCAGTGTTCCTAAGCCAATCAATGGCAAAGAGGCATAGAATTGCTGAGATTGGCTTAATCAGCATCCATCCCGGCAACTCTGAGTCAAAAAGGTTTCATTGGAGTGGGACAAAAACCTTAACAAAACTGGGGTTCTGTTAGGAAGTAAGAAGTGAGAGAACAGGGGCTTGGAAGACAAGAAACAGCTGTACCACTCCACTTTCTTCTACTCCCTCTACTGCCCTCTCTCCTTCTCCTAACCCCCACCCTCCTTTAAGAGCCACTGCATTGGCTGTCATTGCTAACCAGTGCACTGCTTCAGATCCCCACCCTTCCACTCTACTAGAAGTGCACTTGCAAATATCAGTGGTGTCCTAATTTGGACTCTGTGGGCTTTGACACCTCCAATTCCCTTCTTTACCCTCTCCATCCATCACCCTACTCATGACCTTCAGATGATCAAGACATCCTCTTCCATAACATGCTCCCCATCACTCATCAATGTTTATTCCACAAACATGTTTTGAGCATCTACCATTCTGCACCTAATACTTTGCAAATTACTCTGGAATGCACAGTTTAGTTGTGTCATTGTTCACTGCAACAATTGCAATAACTTCCTAACCAGCCACTCTGCCTCCAGTCTCTCTCCACCCACAATCTGTCTTCCTTGCTCACAAGGGTAATCTTTCCAAATGCAAGTCTGATCATCATACTACCCCGCTTGCATTTCTCCTACAGGAGAAAGCCTAAAGTCCCCAGCATGGCATTTAAGCACGGCCATGGCACCCAGGCCCCACCAGCCTCTCCTAGGGTGTAGCCCATCCTTTCTACTCTTATAATGTCAGCTCTGAGAATAAAGAACTACTATTTTCCAAGCAGATCATGAGCTTTCTTAATTTGGAGTTTTGCTCATACTTTCTTCTTAACTAAAATGCCTTCCCTTGATTTTTCTGTTAGGAAAAACCCTACATTTTTCAAAACCCAGGCTTCATGAGACCTTCTCAGTAAATTCTTCTCCAAGGCTGAATGAAGCATGTCCTCTGTGGTTCCATGTCAATCATAAGCAATTCTCATGGCATATTACTATTAGGTTTATACTCGTGAATTCTTACAGGGGAAGGACAGGATCTAATTCACCATTCTGTACGAAGCACAAATACCTGGCAATGCACGCTCAATATATGTTTGAAGAACTAAAGTGAGCCAAGCGCGGTGGCTCACGCCTGTAATCCCAGCACTTTGGGAGGCAGAGGCTGGTGGGTCACGAGGTCAGGAGTTTGAGACCAGCCTGGCCAACATGGTGAAACCCCATCTCTACTAAAAATACAAAAATTAGCTGCACGTTGTGGCCCATGCCTGTAGTCCCTGCTACTCAGGAGGCAGGAGAATCGCTTGAACCTGGGAGGCGGAGGTTGCAATGAGCCGAGATCGCGCCACTGCACTCCAGCCTGGGTGACAGAGTGACACTCTGTCTCAAAAAAAAAAAAAAACTAAAGTGAGCCACTTATTTCAACCTCCTCTCTTCTCAGACAGGGAACCTGAGGGTAAAAGAGGAAGTGACTGACAATGGTTACTCTGTGTGTTTAATCAGTGTTCTGTCAGTTCAAGTAGGAAAAAAAAAAGTCTTAAACAAAAAAGGAATTTATTTGGTGCACTGAATTTAACTGTCTCTCCTCAGGCACAATTTCAATCTAAAGATTCGAGAAGTATCATCAAGACCTAATTCTCAGCTCCACTTTCCTCTTTATCGGCTTCATTCTCTGGTTCTGTATCAGAACAAAATGGCTGCCAAGAGCTCCCGCCTAAATTCCCCCACCTCCCTACCCCAGTTCATATCAGTGGAAAGAGAATGTCTTTTTGTGGTCATGTAAGCAAAAGTCCCAACGTTTTTTCTGATTGTGACTTGAGTCACATGCAATGGCCTGATTGGCAGGTTGCAGGTCACATGTTCATCCATGCATCTTTGGGCAGTCAACACCATCAAGCATGTGAACTGAGAATGGGAGAGGAATGATTCCCTCTAGATTAATGCTGTCCAATAGAACGTTCTGTGGTGAGTTCATGGAAAGTTCACAGAGCGCAGCTTGGGTGGCATCTCTGTGGCCATATTATTATTCTGAGTCTCAGAGTTTCTAAAGCTACAGAATACAGGAGATGTCTCTTTCCCTCCCTCTCTCCCTGCCTCCCTTTCTGTCTTCCTTCCTTCTTTCCTTCCATCCTTCCATTAGCCATACCATGGGCACCTCCTAGGTATAATTTTCTACGCTAGATACCTTACATTATTGATTCATGTATTCATTCACACATTCATTAAATATCTTTTATACACCAAGCGTTCAGCTCTAGGAATTAAAATCTGAACAAGAAAGACAGGTTCCCTCCTGGAAAGTAAGACAACACTGAGTAACTATTTACCAATACTACAGGCATTAGGAAGGGAGAGGACAAGACAGTGGTCTTCGGCATGTCTAGAGGAAGCCTCGGTGACATTAACCTGAGACTAGAGGAGGAAGAGTGAGGGGCTGGGTGAGGGGGTGTGGTCCGGGCAGAGGGACAGCAAGGGGCAATAAAGGGTTGGAAGCAGAGGTGTGACGTGCTCAGGTTTGCATCTTAAAAAGATCCCTCTGGGAATTATGCTAGCAAAAAAAGCCAGTCCCCAAAGATTCCATACTGTATGATTCCATTTATATAACATTCTTCAAGTGACAAAATTACAGAAATGGAGAACAGATTAGTGGTTGCCGTGGTCAAAGATGGGGTGAGATAGAAGGAGAAGAGTTTGGCTTATAAAAGGGCAGCATGAGCTGTTATGGACTGAATGCTTGTGCCCCCCACCCCCGAAATTCATATGCAGAAGCCCTAACCCCCAATATGCCTCTATTGGAGACAGGGTCTGTGAGTAGGTGACAAAGGTTAAAAGGGGTCATAATAGTGGGGCCCTAATCCAATGGGGCTGGTGCCTTTATTAAAGAGGAAGACACACCAGCGTTCTCCCTCTCCATCATGTGAGAACACAGCGAGAAGGTGGCCATCTGCGAGCCAGAAAAGGGTCCTCACCAGGAACTGAATTAGCCAGCACCCTGAACTTGAACTCCTAGCCTCCAGAACTATGAGAAATAAATATCTACTGTTTAAGACACTCAGTCTGTGGTATTTTGTTATGGCAGCCCGGGCCAACAAATATACTAGTGTCATGGGTTGAATAGTATCCTCCCAAAATTCACATCCACCTAGAACCTCAGATATGACCTTGCTTGCAGATGTAGTTAACACAAGGATCTCAAGATGAGATCTTTCTAGATTAAGATGAGCCCTAAATCCAATGACTGATATCCTTATAGAAAGAGAAGGGAACATGCACAGAGAGACAGGGAGAAGAAAGGAGGTGGAGATGCCGGCAGAGATTGGAGTTATGCTGGTATGAACAAAGGAATGCCGGGAGCCACCCAAAGCTGGAAGGGATAGGAAAGGTTCTCCCCGAGAGCCTTCAGAGAGAGGATGGCCCTGCCAACACTTTGATTTCAGACTTCTGGCCTCCAAAACGGTGAGAATAAATGTCTTATTGTCTTAAGCCACCACGTTTACGGTCATTTCTTACAGCAGGCCTAGAAAACTCATACAACAAAGGACCGATGTGCCACCAGAACTGTTTTTTATTTTATCAATGTTGATATCCTGGTAGTGATATTATACTGTAGTTTTGCAAGATGTTACTATTGAGGGAAACAGGGTGAAGGGTACATGGGAGCTCTTTGTATCATTTCTCACAACTGCATGTGAATCTACAATTATCTCAAAATAAAAAGTTTAATTAAAAAAATTTCCTCTGGGAGCCATGTGGTAAACGGAGAGGAAGCTGAGAGACCAGTTGGTGCCATTGAAGTCATTCATGGGCAAGATAATAGCAGGTAGGCCAGGTGGTTACCAAGGAGACAGAGAGAAGAGGATGGGTTGGGGAGAAAGTTAGAAGGTTGAAGTGACAGCACTTGGGGACCAACTTGGTGATGGGAGTGGAGGAGTAAGAGGTGTCCATGATGACTCTGGCTCGTACAGCAAAAGTATGATGGTGGCTTTAACAGAGGCCTCTGAGCAAAGAGCAGATTTGGGGAGAAAAGAATGGGAACCACAGCATGTTTCAGACAGAACAGTTCAAATAACCAGGCTATCCAGCTTCCTCTCAGAAATGGCCATCTGACCTCATTCTGTCTTTATCTCACATTTTTACTCCACAAAAGAGATTCTAATTGAGTCAGTTTCCTACATTCCAACACGGAGCAGGGCAGCCATGTGCCAGGCTACCTCCTGGGCCCCTCTTGTGATCACTGTATACTTGTCTTCTTTTCCTTGGAAACTGATCCTTGGTCTCAAGGCACAAGACATGGCCACTTCATTCAGATAGACTGAGACTGTGGTATGGCAAGAACTTAGAGTTTCAGGTGTCTCCAATACAGCCAGTGGAGCTTAGCAGAGATGGTCGAGGATGGAGGAAGATTGCTCCTAAAAAAATCTCTCAACTCAATGCCCAAGCAAAGAAGGAAGACCAAGCCGGGCACAGTGGCTCATGCCTGTAATCCCAGCACTTTGGGAGGCTGAGGCAGGTGGATCACGCGGTCAGGAGTTCAAGACCATCCTGGCCAAGATGGTGAAACCCCGTCTCTACTAAAAATACAAAAAATTAGCCACCTGTGGTGGCAGGCGCCTGTAATCCCAGCTACTCGGGAGACTGAGGCACAGTATTGCTTGAACCCAGGATGCGGAGCTTCCAGTGAGCCGAGATCGTGCCACTGCACTCCAGCCTGAGCGACAGAGTGAGACTCCGTCTCAAAAAAAAAAAAAAAGGAAAACCAGAACTCTTCACATCAACTCTAGCTTTGTTTTCTGAGGAGAGGGAAGGTTGGAGGAGTCTTTCAGAACAAAGTTGGAGGACTAACACAGCCTGATCTCATAGCTCATCATAAAGCTACAGTAATCAGAATAGTATGATATTGGCATCAATATAGACAAATAAATTTGCGAAATAGAATAGAGAATCCAGAAATAGACCCACACACATGATCAACTGATTTTTGAAAAAGACGTAAAGGCAATTCAGCGGAAAGAGTATAGTCTTTTCAACAAATGCTGCTGGAACAACTGAATATTCATATGGAAAAAGTTGAACTTCGACATATACCTTACACCATATACAAAAACAAACTCAAAATTGATCATAGAATGAAATGTTAAACCTAAATCTATAAAACTTTAAAAGAACGCATAAGTGAAAAGCTTTTGTGATCTTGGGTTAGGCAAAGATTTTTTAGGTAAGACATTAAAAGCACAATCCATAAAAGATTATGTTGGAATCTGTCAAAATTTAAAACTTCTGGGCCGGGCGCCATGGCTCATGCCTATAATCCCAGCACTTTGGGAGGCCGAGGTGGGTGGATCACAAGGTCAGGAGATCGAGACCATCCTGGTGAACACGGTGAAACCCCGTCTCTACTAAAAAATACAAAAAATTAACCGGGAGTAGTGGCGGGCGCCTGTGGTCCCAGCTACTCAGGAGGGTGAGGCAGGAGAATGGCATGAACCTGGGAGGCGGAGCCTGCAGTGAGCCCAGATCACACCACTGCATCCAGCCTGGGCAAGAGAGCGAGACTCCATCTCAAAAAAAAAAAAAAAAAAAAAAAAAAAATTCTGGTCTTTGAAAGTCTTTTTTTTTTTTTAATTATTATACTTTAAGTTTTAGGGTACATGTGCACAATGTGCAGGTTAGTTACATATGAAAGTCTTTTAAGAGAGTGAAGAGGCAAGCCACATGCTGGGAAAAAATATTTGTGATCTTAATATCTGATAAAAGATATGTATCTAGAGAGTGGGACGTCCGGCTTCAGAATGGGAACCTTCGTTGCCCCAGCGATGAAACAGAGAATTAAATATGAGTGATGCTGAGAAAGGCAAGATTTTTGTTCAGAAGTGTGCCCAGTGCCACACTGTGGAAAAGTGAGGCCAGCACAAGACTAGGCCTAATCTCCATGGTCTCTTCGGGCGGAAGACAGGTCAGGCTGCTGTATTCTCTTACACAGATGCCAGTAAGAACAAAGGCATCACGTGGGGAGAGGATACCCTGATGGAGTATTTGGAGACTCCCAAGAAGTACATCCCTGGAACAAAAGTGATCTTTGCCGGCATTAAGAAGAAGACAGAAAGGGCAGACTTGATAGCTTATCTCAAAAAAGCTACTATTGAGTAATAATGGGTCACTGCCTTATTAATTACAAAACAGAAATGTTTCATGACTTTTTTATGTGGACTATAATAGATCTCATACACCAGAATTCAGATCATGAATGACTGACAGAATATTCTGTTGGGCAGTCCTGACTTAAAACTAAGGCTGGCTTGTGGTTAAATGAGTATGTTCAGTTTTTGAATGTTAATAGTAATTCCAATTCAGTAAATGCTATCACTGTTTACCCCTTCTAAAGATATGATTAGACTTCATTAGTAGTGTTCAACTTTTCACAAAGATGGTGAATGCCATCTTAAAACTCACTGGAGATTGGTTTTATATTTAGATTTCTATAACTGGTTATGTGAATATATTTAAATACTGGGGAAATTCCTTCACTGTCTCAGAACCAAGCAAGATTCACCTGTGTTTTGTGTTCATTTGCCTCTTAAAGGCAAGAGTTGAAGATAAATAAGGGAGCAATGTCTACTTTATATTTTTGGCCTTAACTGTGCCAATCTAATTAGAATTCTCTGTATTTAAAATGGTTCTTTTTACTTATTGAAAGGCATTTTAGTGTGGTTTATGTGTAATATCAAAGATTATTTAACACTTCTCACATTTTATAGATGCTCTACAAGGTCACATGCTTTTAAAATAGTAGCAAGTTAAACTTCACTCTTTTTTTTTTTTTTTTTTTTAGAAACTGATGTTTATTTTCCATTAACCATTTTTCCATGTTGCTTAAGAGCCTATGCAAGAACAGCTTAAGACCATTCAGTGGTTGCTCCTACCCATTCAGTGGCCTGAGCAGTGGGAGCTGCAGACCAGTCTTCTATGGCAGGCTGAGCGCTCCAGTCTTCAGTAGGGAACTGCTGAATAGGCACAGAGGGCACCTGCACACCTTCAGACCAGTCTGCAACCTCAGGCCGAGTAGCAGTGAACTCAGGAGCTGGAGCAGTCCATTCACCCTGAAATTCCTCCTCGGTCACTGCCTTTTCAGCAGCAGCCTACTCTTCTTTTTCAATCTCTCCAGGATCTCTGTAGAAGTAGAGATCAGGCATGACCTCCCATGGGTGTTCACGGGAAATGGTGCCATGCATGCGCAGAACTTCCCAAGCCAGCATCCACCACATCAAACCCACTGAGTGAGCTCCCTTGCTGTTGCATGGGATGGCAATGTCCACATAGCACAGAGGAGAATCTGTGTTACACAGAGCAATGGTAGGTAGGTTAACTTAAGATGCCTCTGTGAGAGGCTGGTGGTCAGCCCTGGGATCAGTAACCACAAGAAGCCGTGGCTCCCAGAAGGCTGCCTGGATCTCGTTAGTGAAGGTTCCAGGAGTGAAGCGGCCAGCAATTGGAGTGGCTCCAGTGGCAGCAGCAAACTTCAGCACAGCCCTCTGGCCAGTATTCCTGGAGGATTTAACACTGACATGAGCAGGGTTTTCAATGGCAACAACAGCACAAGCTGCCAGAGAAGCTTCTCCCAGGTCCTCTTCAGATTTATGATATAGATGCCATCACTTTTCCTTTTATAGATGTACTGTTCCATCTGGAAGTCAAGATTGGTGCTACCTAAGTGGGTTCCTGCTGCAAGGAACTTAAGGACATCCTCCTCCTTCATCTGCAGGACATCAAGGGCTCCGGACATTGTGAAAGTTTCCCTTTAAGTTATGACGGGAATCCAGAACAACGCCGTATGGATCCCTCTGCAGGTAGCACGGAAAGGAAACTTCACTCTTTAATTTTTTACAATCTAAGCCAAACTAAGTTATAATTTAGGATTGTCGGGGGGGTTTTTTTATTTGTTTTTGTTTTTGAGACAGAGTTTTGCTCTTGCTGCCCAGGCTGGAGTGCAATGGCACGACCTCGGCTCACTGCAACCTCCACCTCCTGGATTCAAACTATTCTCCTGCCTCAGACTCCTGAGTAGCTGGAATTACAAGCATATGCCACCATGCCAAGCTAATTTTGTATTTTTAGTAGAGATGGGGTTTCTGCAGGTTGGTCAGGCTGGTCTTGAATTCCCGACCTCAGGTGATCCACCCACCTTGGCCTCCCAAAGTGCTGAGATTACAGGCATGAGCCACCGCACCCATTCAGAAACATAAAACTGTAGAACTGCTGTATATTTGTGATTGGAAGTGGTGCTTTTGCCAACTTAAAAGGATTAAAGTAGAGGAGATACACACAAATTTTAAAATTATGTGTGATCATAAGCTTAAGATAATTAAAAAGAAAACCACAGATTAAAGAAAGGATACGTATCTAGAACAAAGACCTTTCAAAGCTCAATAAAAAGAAAACAAAGAACACAATTTTTCAAATGGGCAAAAGATTTGAACAGATGTTTCAGTAAAGAAGATATAAAAATGGCAAATAAACACATGAAAAGATGCTTAACATTATCAGTCATCAGAAAATGCAAGTTAAAGCCACGTATGTATTAGAATATCTAAATGTGAAGGGCTGAGCACATCAAATGTTCACAAAAATGTGGAACAAGTGTGGAACAAGTGGAACTCCCACACACTGTTGGTGGGCATATATAATGGTAGAACCAGTTTGAAAAACAGTTTGGCACTTTCTAAAATAAAAAACAAAAAAAAATACTTGATAAATGATCCAGCCATTCTACTCCTAGATATTTGCACAAAAGAAATAAAAACATGTGTTAATACCAAAATGTATATGTGAATGCTCATAGACACTTTATTTGTAATAACCAAAAACTGCAAAATCCCCAAATGTCATCAACAGGTGAATTGATAAACATTTGGTATATCCATATAGTGGAATACCACACAGCAATGAAAAGGAATTGGTTATTGATGCATACTAAGATGAATCACAAAGTAATTATGCTGGATGAAAGAATAAGACAAAAAAGAATATGTATGGTATGATTTCAATGATCAAAAAATTCTGGAAAAGGCAAACTAGTATTTAGTGATGAGAAGCAGATGAACAGTTGCCAGGAGATGGAGTGAGGAGGGGAATGGGTGAGGAGTGATTACAAAGGGGCACTAGGGGGTGACAATGCATATGTTTATTATCTAGATTGTGGTGTTTAAATATGTCAAAACTTGTCAAATTGTACATTTTAAATGTGTTATTTTTGTATGTCAATTATACCTCAATAAAATCCTCTTTTTAAAAAGGAATCCAGGACAGGTGCTGTGGCTCATGCCTGTAATCCCAGCACTTTGGGAGGCCAAGGCAAGTGGATCACGAGGTCAGGAGTTCAAGACCAGCCTGGCCAAGATGGTCAAACCCCGTCACCACTAAAAATACAAAAATTAGCCAGGTGTGGTGGCGGGTGCCTGCAATCCCAGCTACTCAGGAGGCTGAGGCAGAGAATTGCTTGAACCTGGGAGGCAGAGGTTGCAGTGAGCCAAGACTGCACCACTGCACTCCAGCCTGGGCAACAGAGCGAGGCTCCGTTTCAAAAAAAAAAAATGGAATCCAGGGGAAAAGCAGTGCCTTTCTTCCCTTGTGTGTTCCCTGCCCTCTCCTCATCTTTCACAGAGCCCATCTGCTTCTGAAAAGTAGGAGCTATGCTTTCTTCTCCCACAAGCCATTCACTTATAAAAAGCAGTCTTGTGGGGGATGAGCTCAGCTGGGTGAGAGGAAGAAGACTGGCAAAAGAGTCATCATCAAAGTCAAGGCAATTCTTTTTTTTTTTTTTTTTTTTTGAGACAGGGTCTTGTTCTGTCACCCAGACTGGAGTGCAGTGGTTCACTCCGGGCTCCAGTGATCCTCCCACCTCAGCCTCCTGAATAGTTGGCACCACAGGTACATGCCACCACGCCCAGCTAATTTTATGTGTGCGTGTATGGAGAGAGACAGGGGTCTCGCTATGTTGCCTAGGCTGGTCTTAAACTCCTGGGCTCAAGCAGTCTTCCTGCCTCAGCCTCTCAAAGTGCTGAGATTACAGGCATGAGGCACCACGCCTGGCCAAGGCAATTCCTTAGCAGTCATTGTTCCAATGTGACCAAGTGCCCAAAGAAACAGGAAGGGACTACACAATTATAATGCAGACAGTAAGTCTCTGCAATCAGACAGATCTGGGTATAAATTCTGGCTCCATGACTTAGCAAGTTTTTGATTCCTAACCTCTTTAAACCTCTGTTTCCTCATTTGCAAAATGGGATCATATGCCACACAAAGGATGCCAGGAGATTAAGTGAGGTTCTATTTACAAAGAGATTAAGTGAGGTTCTATCTACATCAGCCAGGCACAGAGTAAAGGCTTCCTCTACCTGGGAGACAGCATCTAGACAAGGAAGAGCACAGAATCCAAAAAAGAAAATTCTGAGTTCTAGTCCTAACTCTGCTGCCAATCGCTTATATGGCCTTGCCACCAGTCTGTATAAGCCCTTCAGCACTGGGGATGGAGAGAGGAGAACAGTGTTAAGAACACATTCATTCTCCATTCCACTAGCTTCTCCGAGTCCTGACTGAGGATTCAGTAACATCTGGCCCAGGGGCCAAAGGCAGCCCGCTACCTGTTTGTGCAAAGTCCACGAGCTAAAGCTGGTTTTTACATTATTAAATGGTTGAAAATATCAAAAGAGAATAATATTTTGTACTGTGAAAATTATATGAAATTCCAATGTCATCGTCCATAAATTAAGTTTTATTGAAACACAGGCCAGGCGCGGTGGCTCACGCCTGTAATCTCAGCACTTTGGGAGGCAGAGATGGGCGGATCATCTGAGGTCAGGAGTTTGAGACCAACCTGGCCAACATGGTGAAACCCCGTCTCTACTAAAAATACAAAAATTAGCCAGGTGTGGTGGTGGGCAGCTGTAATCCTAGCTACTCGGGAGGCTGAGGCAGGAGAATCATTTGAACCCGGGAGACAGAGGTTGCAGTGAGTCGAGATCACACCACTGCACTCCAGCCTGGATGACAAGAGTGAGACTCCATCTCAGACAAAAAGAAAGCCCTACCCATTTGTTTATGTATTGCCTATGGCTGCTTTCCCGATATAGTCAGAATAGAGTTGTTGCAACTAAGACCATATGGCCTGCAAAGGATAAATTACTTAATATCTGGCCCTTTAACAGAAAAAGTTTGCAGACTCCTGGGTTAGATCATCAGAAGAAACATACTTGTCTGCTGTTCTCTTAGCTGCCCACAGAAAAGTATTCAGTGTGTTAAGATTAAATCTTATGTCCTTAACTTTTACAGGGGTTCATAAGAAACATCCATTTGATTGGAATTTCTGTGTCTTTTGCAATAAATGTTTCCTTGAATTTTATGCCAGCAAATAAGATGGTCTTCAATTGACCTTATATGCATTATTTTATTATCCCACTATGTAACTGGCATATTGTAAGTAGCCTATAGACTAATTTTAGTTATTTTAGTGATATTAACAGACAAGAATTCTTAATTTTAATGATATGTACTTATCTGTGTCATTATCCTCTATTTGTGGTTAGTGATGGTGGTTTTCCGTTTACAAAAATATCAAGTTTTTAAGATTTTTAAATTAAATTGAATAATTGTATTGATTTTTTAAAATGTCAAGTAAGTAACAATTTTGCTAGAACCACAGGAAAGGCAAAAATGTTACAGTTGTTCAAGAATGATGGAAGTTTAGGAATAACATATTGGACAATAGGAACATGTTTTCCTCTTTACCATGGTTGCTGGGAAGCTCAGGATTAAAGGCAGTGGCATTTTACAATAGTATCCACAGTTCTGTAATTTACCTCATTGGACTTCTTTGCAGCTGCCTTTAATAGAGCACTGACCACATCGTGTGGTTTCTGTTGGCTCGTGTGACTATCTGCCAAAGGAAACCGGAGCCGGACTCACCAGGCCAGAACTTGGGAGACCCATTGGGTTGACCTGTTCCATTTCTTCTCTGCCTGTTCCTCTTGAACCCACCAACATCTGGCTCTCACTTCTTTCCAAAAACTATTCCCACAAAGGTCATTAATTACCTCACAGGGCCAAATACAATGGCTTCCTTCCAGTTCTCAATCCATGGGGCCTCTGCTCAGCACTTGACTATGTTTATATATGGGTTATTACACAGCTCATTTATAAATTATTACATAGGCTACTATAGTAAGCTAGTAATATCCCCATCCACTCAAGTGCTCAAGGCACAAGTTGCTACCTCCTTCCTCTGCCCGCCCCCTTCCTGCCAAGCTCTTGACCAGCGCTGTCCTTCCTTCCACTGACATATTTCTCAGCCTTCTCTGCCCCTCTTAGGGCTTTATGGCCCTTGAGACCTTTCCGTTGCTTCCCTAGGTGTGACATTCATGTCCCTGTCTTCACTTGCACCCACACCAGTTAACATGGTTAACTTTCTAAACCATGAGCGGGCAGGTTAAGGTCAAACTAAAATGGGCCAAGTCCAGCCCCCTCCACCACCTGTTTTTGTAAGTGGTTATGTTTAGCATGTATCTTCAACTCTCCTCTTTGTACACAAAGCCTAAAATCTTTACTGTCTGGTCCTGTCCAGCAAAAGCTTGCCAACCCTGTTATGAACCCAGAAGTGGCTGCTGTCCTGCTTCTCCTTGCGTACCCCAGACTTCCCTACACATTAGCATCCCCTGAAGGGACTGAGGAAATGCAGATTTCTGGGCCCCAGCAGCTAGAGATTCTGATTCAGTGGGTCTGGGGTGAAGCCTGCAATGTTCCCACACCCCAAATCGTTCTAATGTAGGTGGCCCAAGGTCCACACTTTGGGAAATTCTGCTGTAATCGCAGAGCCAGCCTGAAGTCCCTGAAACATCATGGGTACTGGCCAGCGAGGGCCAGTGCTCTGCGCTCCCTGTTCTGTCTGCCTGGAAAGCCTTGGAAAACGCCTTTCTCCTCTGCAAAAGTCGTGTCCTCTTCCCAGACCTCCCACTCCCATACCAGACAAGCATTGTCACCTTCTCCTCTCCTGCTCCATAAAGCACCTGTCCCTCTACAACCCTGATGATGTGCTTGTGTGTCTGTCTCAGTAGCCAGACTGGGAGCTCTTCCAAGATGACATCATTTCACTGCCCCCAGCCCTTGCATAGAAGGCCTTAAATCAATATTTGGTGAATCAATGAATGAACAGATGGACTTGCTCCAAATTGCTGCATAAAGCAATGCAAAGTCAGGACTGAGTCCAAACACTGGGATCCCCTGTCGGGTAACCTCCAGGCTGAGCCATCAGTTGCTGGAGCACAGTGGTTCAGAGCAGAGCTGGCCTGGGTGTGAATCTAGCTCTGTACTTTGCTAGCTCTGTGACCTTGGGCAGCTTATACAAGCCTGATTACATCACCTCTAAAATGAGAAAGATGATGTTAATAGCACTTACCTCACAGAGTTGCTCTGAGGTTTAAATGAAGTAATCCATGGAAAGCTCTTCAGCACATAGGAAGCATTTAATACATGTTAATTATGGTTTTATTCTGTCATATCTCTTTGTCCACGCCAGGCATGTGCCAAGGTGGAGCCTGACAGGAAGCCTCAGCCTTTCTATAGTGAGGGCACAGCAGGGACTACTCAGACTCAAGTCTCGGGGTCAGCCAACCCCATCTCTCTCTTGTCACTGGGATTCTACTGGAAATCGCCAGCTGTGGGAAGTCCTGCCAGGTGGCCCAGGACCCTGGAAATAGGCAGATCTTAGAGTTCAGCTACTAAAGCTCCTGCTCCCTCCTCCCAGCCCAACTCAAGAAACCTACCCCGCAGCACCTTATTCTTTGGTCACCAGCCAGGAGGGTCAAGGTAGAATTGCTTCAGGAGACAGATGACACCGAGTAGGCTGGAGGATGTGGTAAGGGCTGGGCTACACGGAGGATGCTGGCAGCAATGAGTAGCACCAATACTGAATGTTAATTGAGCCCTAATCAGTAAGCACTCTCCTGGGGCAAATGTGACCAACCCCAGGGAGAGAGTTTGATGGAGATACAACAGGAACTCCAGTGGACCACAGAGTGGACCTGCCACACGCAGACAGCAACAGCGCCCGCATCCTTATGTGGCAAATCCAGGACAGGGGCTTCCAAAGCAGGAAGTCCTCTGGGGTTGTGGAGATAAGATTACAGACCCATCTGCAACAGCTGAGGTGAGGTGATGGGGTCACTGTCTCAGAGCCCATGGGACTACAGAATCAGAAAGAAGAGTAATGTTTGGTCTAATATGCTTTTTCTTTCTTTTCTTTTCTTTTCTTTTTTTTTTTTTTTTTTTGGGACAGACTTTCATTCTTGTTGTCCAGGCTGGATGGAGTGCAGTGGCTGATCTCGACTCACTGCAACCTCTGCCTCCCAGGTTCAAGTGATTCTCATGCCTCAGCCTCCCGAGTAGCTGGGATTACAGATGCCCGCCACCATGCCTGGCTAAATTTTTTTGCATTTTTAGTAGAGACAGGGTTTCACCATGTTGGCCAGGCTGGTCTCAAACTTCTGACCTCAGGCAATCTGCCCGCCTCGACCTCCCAAAGTGCTAGGATTATAGGCATGAGCCACCACGCCTGGGCAACTCTTTTTAAACCATTCCTCAATTGCACAAACCAAAAACCTAGGAATTGGCCTTGACAACTGTCTCTCACTTAATCCCCCCAACCTGATCCTTCTTCATAGAGCACCGCCATTTTTATCTTCTAAGGATCTCTGCCATCAAGCCATCCCGATTCCCAATCTTGCTTACCCTCTTCAATTTCTTTTTCTTTTTCCATTGCACATAATACTTTGCAATGTATTTACTTATTTATTATACTTACTGTCTATCTCCCTTCTCACTAAACCTGGCATGTAGTAGATGCTCAATAAAGATTCGAGGACTGATTCTGCATGACCACCTTCTCCCGTCTGAATGATAGCACTAGCCTCCTGTCTGGCCTACTGCTGCCTACTCTGGTTCATCTTCAATCCATTGCCCAGAACGGTGCTTTCTCAAAATGCAAATCTGGTCATGTGTCAGCTTTGTGCCACCCACCCCTGCATGCACAGACATCAGACACATCAATGGCTTTCCACAGATTCAGGGTAAAGCCTCATCCCCCTAATGTGGCCCACAAGGTCCTCCTTTGCCTTCTCCTGCCCTCCTCTCTGGCTTCTGCTGCTCCCCACCTCCTCACTGTCTCTGCCCCAGACCCACTGGCATCCTTTTGCCACAGTCACGCCCACCAAACTGCCTGAGCCCATGAAGTTCCCGTGCAGTTTCCTGTGCATGGGTGGCTCTTCCCTGCCTTCGGATTCCAGCTCCAGCAGCCTTCCCTGACATGGCTCTCCACCCTCATTAGGTCAACTCTTCCCATCCCAGGATCTCAGATGCCATTTGTGACTTCTCCATGGAGCTCGTCATGGTTGCATCTTTAGACTGGTACATGGGCTGTTTGGAAGCGTCTTTCTTCCTGACCACACTGAGAGCTCCATGAAGGAAGGACTGTCTTCGTTGCTCACTATTTTAGCCCCAGTTCCTAGTGGCGTGCCAAGCACCTAACAGGCACTCAATAAACATGTGTTGATTAAATGAAATAAGTGAGGAAACCCAGGCCCAAAGAGCCCAGGTGACTTGCTCACCGTGACACAGCTTGGAGATGGCCACTGCAACACAGAGTTCAGGGCTCTGCCAGAATTCATGCCACTTCTCTTTGGCAGGGCAGAGACAAGGGTCCCCCAGCCAGTGGGGAGCCCTCGCTGGCCAGTACAACCAGACAGGGGGATGGAACCTGGGCCTGCCTTGGGTCTTCTCTGGGAAAACAGCTCCAAGCCGGGAAGACAGAAGGTTGATATTCCCACGCTAAATTCCCCTCGTGGCCATTATAATTCACATCCTGCATATTGAAGGCTCTGAAAAGTCCCCAGGTCAAAAAGAAACTTTCACAGTAATAAACAGAAGATTTCCTTTTCCCAGAGGGAAATGTTTCTGCACAAACAGAAGCAGGTCTCCCTGAAGGTCAGCTCCAGGCACAACCAAGCGGACACTCATTTTTCCTAAGAACATTTATCAAAGACCTACTCAGTGCTAGACATTACAAAGCACCAGGGAAGCTGCAGAGAGGAGGATGGGCAAGGCCTCACCCTCAGAGGGTTGCATATAAAAGGCACTGTTCCCCCGGGAACATCCCAGGAGGGAAAATGCCAAACGTGAAACCAAGGAAACACTGAAACAACCATCTAGCCACGGAGGGACCTCACAGTGAGTGCAATGAAAAGGAGATGCAGGCTGTGGCTGTTTGGGCTGGGCTCTCTGAGGACGTGACTACACGGCTGACAGCTTGTGGCAATGGGGCCAGTGTGACCAGAAGGCCAGGGTCTGATGGTCCAAGCTCCTAGCAAGCCCACCCTTCTGTTGCGAATATGCTCAAGAAAAACTCGAGTCCCCTCCGACGCACTTCCACGTGCCTCTCGGCAACCATCCGTGCAGAGAAACCGCAGGTGTGCCAGGTGATGACCTAGGGACGGTGACTTGGGGACTCCTTGTTGTAAAATGTCAAGCACTTTGGTCCTGAATGCCAAAGCACACACACAAAACACTGTCCCCCTTCCTTGGCCTAATCTCAAAAGCCAAGCAAGATCCGTGTCTAAACTCTCATTGAACGCGCTAAAATGTTTCTGAAGAGCACAGGAATTACTTAAATGAAAAATAATTGTTGAGGAGCCATTATTATTATTCAAGATGTGTCAAATGACATTGAAGTGTTCTATTTAATGTGTGGTCATTACTATCATCTTTTAGAGAACATGAAAATAAGCGTTCGTCTGATTACCTGAATGCCCACACCTATTTTCCTCCTAATGTCTTATGACCATCCACCTGGAATTCTCCAACCTTGGGAGCTTTCAAGAACACAGCCCTCACAGCTGAGGCAGGGGAGGCCATCAGCACACAGGTCCTGGATGGGTCGGAGGCTGCTGAAATATCTAAGTTCCTGCAATGATTTCAGAGCATGCTGCTCAAATGGAGGTGCTTTCTTAGCAAGCAATCTCTCTATTTCTTGTGGGAAGATGAGGAGAAAATCGGCTGTTGGGTCCGGGATCCCAGCTGGCAGCTCACCCAGACTGACCCCCACCAGGGGAGCATGGAGCATTTCCCAACAGGGAAAGGACTGCGGGGCGCCGAGGGCCCCAAGCCGCAGAAACATGAGGCTTGCCTGACCCCTTGTGGTGTGAGGCTCTCAAAGCCCGCTCCTTGCTGTTCAGACAGAAGGGGCAAAGACTGGATTCATTGTGACTGTGAGTGCTTGTCGTGGATTGAATGACACCCCTCAAAAGGTATGTTCCCCCAATGTGACCTTATCTGGAAAAAGGGCCTTTGCAGATGTAATTAAGGATCGTAAAATGAGAGCATCCTGGATTACCCAGGTGGGCCCTAAATCCAATGACAATTGCCCCTTATAATCCACAGAAAAAGAAAAGCCACAGACATACAGAGCAGAAGTCCACGTGAAGATAGGCAGAAAAGGGAGTTACACAGCTACAAGCCAAGGAGTGCCGAGGCCCCGGCAGCCAAAAGAGGCTGGGAGAGAAGACATATCTGCTGTTTGAAGGCACTAGGTTTGGGGTCATTTGTTATGGCGTGCTAGGAAACTTCAATATGGGATCAAGGGATAGGAGGACTCAAAGCCAGGGGCTTCCAAAGCCTGGTCTGTGGAGAGAGTGCATCAGAACCACCTGGTGCACTTGATTCCTTGATTCTGATTCAGAGTCCCTACGGTGGGGCTCTGGAATTGTACATTTTACAAGCTAGCCCTAGTCAATTTTTCTGTACACCCAGTTCTGGGAGCTGCTGTTCCAACCAACTCAGTGATAACCTTTGTAGCAGTTATTAGTGCTGTTCACCGAATAGCTCTATCTCTTTACCTTCTAAGCACAGGATACGATTGCGCTTCCTGCCCTGCTGTGGGCAGATGGGGTCAAGGGACTAGTTTTGACCAATGGCTTGTGGGAGAAGTGCTGTGTGTTAAATACGAGCTGAACTGTAATTGCCAGTGCAAGACCCCCCACCCCAGAGCTCTCTTCGCTGCAGTATTTGGGGTGGTGGCTGCTCTACTAGCCTGGACCCCTGAGGGACTGAGTAGAATCCGCCTACCCACCTGTGATGCACACACACCCGGGGCTTTTAAAGCCTCTGAAATGCCAGGTTGGTTGTTACTGCAGCATAACCTAGTCTATCCTGACTGATTGAAATATGGGAATGTTTTGTTTCAACTTCAAGTCACCCGCTAGAACCTAACTTGGATACAGACACATTTTTTAAGCTTTGCAAACAATTTGCTTAACAAGATTCAGGCTCATCATAGCAGCCACTTTTCATATTATGGGGGTCACTGAATTGAACAAAATCAGTATTAACACCCAAGCAACTCCAGAGCTTGTTTTTCTTGCTATTTTATTAATTCGCTAAAACTAATCATTTTCTAACTAATATCAGACTTTACTGTGCATACAAATTACCTCGAGATCTTGTTAAAATGCACAGTGTTACAATTCAGAAGGTCTAGGATGAGGTTCTGCCTTAGTCAGTTTGGGCTACTATAACAGATACCACAGACTGTGTGGCTGAAACAACACTTATTTCTAATGGTTCTGGAAGCTGGGAAGTCCAAGATCAAGGTGCTAGCAGATTCCATATCTGGAGAGGGCCTGCTTCCTGGCTTATAGGCAGCCACCCTCTTGCTGTATCCTCATGTGGCAGAGAACAGAGATCATCTCTCTCATGTCTCCTCTTATAAGGGAACTAATCCCATTCTGAGGATCCCACCCTCATGACCTAATCACCTCCCAAAGACCCCAACTTCAAACACCATCATATTGGGGATTCAGGCTTCAACATAGAAATCCTGGCTGGAGGCGGGGCACAAACTTTCAGTCCACAGCAGACTCATTCTATAGCTCTAACCAGTTCTGGGGTGATGCCAGTTCTGCTGGTCTGTGGACCACACTTTGAATAGCAAGATTTTAGGTAATGCTTTTCTACAAAATAAATTATTGAACTAATGGGTAAGTTAATTTCATAACATCCATAATTATAATAAACTACATCTGTAAAGCCATCTCTAGTTTCACATGTATTCAACTTAAGCCTCATAATGGCCCTGTCTGTGAGTGAAAGCAAGCAGATTTTTTTTTTTTTTTTTTTTTTTTTTTTTGAGATGGAGTCTCATTCTGTCACCCAGGCTGGAATGCAGTGGCGTGATCTCGGTTCACTACTGCCTCCACCTCCCAGGTTCAAGCGATTCTCCTGCTTCTGAGTAGCTGGGACTACAGGTGCCTGCCACCACACCCGGCTAATTTTTGTGTTTTGGGGGTTTTTTGGGGTTTTTGTTTGAGATGGAGTCTCACTCTGTCACCAGGCTGGAGTGCAGTGGTGTGATCTTGGCTCATTGCAACCTCTGCCTCCCAGATTCAAGCGATTCTCCTGTCTCAGCCTCCTGAGTAGTTGGGACTACTGGTGTGCGCCACCATGCCCAGCTAATTTTTTTGTGTTTTTAGTAGAGACGAGGTTTCGCCATGTTGGCCAGGCTGGTCTCGAACTCCTGACCTCAAGTGATCCACCTGCCTTGGCCTCCCAAATTGCTGGGATTACAGGCGTGAGACACCGTGCCTAGCCGAAAGCAAGCATATATTCTTATCCCTACTTTGCAGATGATAAAAATAAAAGCTGAGAGAGCTTGAGACTCCCTGAGGGTCATCTTGTTCGGTAATGTCAAGGATTAGACTAGAAAACAAATCTTGTCTATGCTCTACCACTGCCTAATAACAGTCCCCAAGATTTCATCAGTGTTTGAATGCCCAGCAAGATTCTAAACATGGTGTGTGTGTGTCTCATTGGAAACCACCTCAAATCCAAATGCTGTGGTCACTTTCAACCTAGCCTCTCAGTAGCACCCTGCACTTTGGCTTTGGGATGGCCTCCTACATGGAGGAAACATTGCCACCTAGTGGACTTCCAGAGCATCAACTCTTAGGACGCTGAGTCTGGGTTACATCTTGGGTTACATCTTTCTAACTTTGGCCTTCATAGCTCTGGTTCTTCCAGTCAACACAAATGCTAGACTCTACATAAGAGATGCAGATGTAGCACTGTCATGGCCTTTGCTTCTAGGAGCTCTTGAGGTAGGTGCAGAGACAAGATTTTTTTACACGAAATAATTAGTTCCTTGTTCAAATTTCGTGATCAGAGGACATGGTTAAGTTCTAACCTTTAGTAGTTGTGTGATCTTGGGCAAGGCGCGTGACCTCTTTCATCCTCCATTTCTTCATCTACAAAGAGAAGATACAATAGTCTTGCCTCACTGGGTCATTGGGATGAAGACGAGAGATTCGTATTAAAAACCAGCAGGGCCTGGGAATGGAGATGTTACGGGGAATGGAGGTTATGATTTCTAGATGGCACCAAGATTTTGAGCCTGGTTGACAGGAACAATGATGATTCCATGGGGAGAGATAAGGTGGACAGCTATTTGAGGTAAAAGATGGCAAGTTTAGATTTACCTATGAGTCTAAAATGTCACTGGGACAGATGTGGGACAATATCCAAAGCAGTTGGAAGGGGCTGTGGAATGAAGACCCAGGTTTGGAAAGGCAGGAGAGTACAGTGGTCAGGTGCATGGGTGTGGGGCCCAACAGCGCGGGTTTCACTCTCAACTTCACTGCTTCCCAGCTGTGTGACCTCCAGCAAGTTGTTTAACCTCTCTGTGTCTTGGACTGGTCACCTATAAAATGCAAATAACAGGGCCGGGTGTGGTGGCTCATGCCTGTAACCCCAGCACTTTGGGAGGCTGAGGTGGGTAGATCACTTGAGGTCAGGAGTTCGAGACCAGCCTGGCCAACATGGTGAAACCCCGTCTCTACTAAAAATACAAAAATTAGCTAGTTATGGAGGCACACACCTAAAGCCCCAGCTACTCAGCAGGCTAAGGCTGGAGAATCACTTGAATCCAGGAGACGGAGGTTGCAGGGAGCGGAGATCATGCCATTGCACTCCAGGCTGAGTGACAGAAAGACTCTGTCTCAAAAAAAAAAAAAAGCAAATAACAATGGTTGCTGTGAGAATGACATGAGTTAGCATAGCTACATTAATATCTATTAGGTACTTTCTGTAACTTTTGCCTGAGTCAGGCTTGAGTGCACAGGTTGGAGGGGAGGGGGTCAAGTGTATGAGTTGATTATGAACTGTTTATATATTCACTGGAATATAGGCTCCAGGAGGGCAGGAGCTTCTATGGTTTATTTCTATCTCCTGGTGCAGCACAGATGCTTAATAAGTAGTCATTGAATAAATGAGTGAATGAATGAATGAATTAATTGACACAGGCCTAGTGAAGAGTGGAGTCAGGAGAGGCTGAAAGGGAAACCAGTAGACTGGGCCTTGCATGTGACCCAGAGGTAGAGGCTGAAGGCCACTCTCCAACCGTGCTCTTTTTAGAAGTGTGAGATGGAAAGGACTAGGTTAGTGGTTCTCAACCCAGGCAATGTCTGGAGAGAGACATCTCTGGTTTTCGCAATTGGTGGGTATAGGGAAAGTAATCCTGGCATCTAGCAGATGGGGGACATGGTTGTGGTTAAACATCCTACAATGCCCAGGACACCCCCCAAAACAGAAAATGATCTATCCCCAAATATCAACAGTGCTGAGCCTTAGGTGTCTAAAAGATCATTCTTTTATAACTTTTTAAACTGTTACATAATAGTTGTGCAAATTTTGGAAGTACATGTGATATTTTGACACATGTACACAATGTAATGGTCAAATCAGAGTAATTGAGCTATTACCTCAAACATTCATCTTTTTTGTTAGGGACATTGCAATTATTCTAGCCATTTTGAAAATACAATAAATTAGTGTTAACTATAATTTCCCTACCGTACTATGGAATACTAGGTCTTATTTTTATGATCTAACTGTATTTCCAAAAGATGATTCTAATCCCTGCTGTGTTTCTTAATAGTTCTGTGGCCTTATCAGCCAAATCCTTGATTTCCCTGAGTTTGTTTCCTTATCTGTAAAATGGGAACATGAGTACCAGCGCTATTCATATTGTGGATACGTGGTGAAGAACAGAATACTGTGTTCTTGGCACCTGCCACATGGTGAGTCCATGTTCAATCCTACTATTACTCTAGTTATTGCTCTCATGCTAAGATGCACAACAAAATAAAGCCTCATCTTCTGGGACTATGGATTCTACTAAGGAGCTTGACAGTGTCACTTTGAAAAGATCAAATGCACTCACTCTTAGCTCCCACCATCCTACACACAAAAGCAATTCTGCTAATAGTGGTCTTGCACCTCCTTTCATCTATCCTGAGGATATGGACGTTGGTGTAGTGTTGAGAATGACCCTGGAGTTGCCACTAGCACTAAAACAGGCTGAGGCTGCTCTACTTATAATCAGTTCATAATCAACTCATAAACTTGACCCCTCCCCTCCACCCATGCACTCAGGCCTGACCCAGGCAAAAGTTACAGGGCTGAGTCTTCCATCAACTACACGCCATGCAGTACCCAAGAAAGTGCACACTTATGGGGATTATGGTGAGGAAGAAAGCAGTCACCATCCTTGCTGGACTTCCATCACTCCATTAGCAGAATTTAAGTAGCCGTTATGCCCCAGGCCTCCCCTGGTCACATGTCTTCCCCTTCCCCACACACCACAGGAGTGTTACCAATTTTAACCTAAACCCATCTGGGTGAAGATGCTTGGGGAGAGGGAAATTGGAGTGAGAGGCAGCACACGTTGTGATGGGCTTGAACAGGTTCTAGAAGAGGCATGACATGAATATTGCCAAACATGGCCAAAGGCTTATAAAAGACCTGGCTTTGCAGCAAAGAAAACAAAAGTCTGGGTAAAAGATTGTGAAGGCTGCATCTACTTAGACATTGCTGTTCATGAGTGTGCAGATGGATGGCCTGGCATGCACATGTTGTGCACACTGAGCTTCCAGCTCCCCTGAACGCACCCACACAACACTCGCTAACACTCAGGGCTGAATCCCAGCTGTCAGCATGGCATCTCTACCCAACATGTGGCCTTTTTTCCTCTCTGGACTGCTCCAGCCTCAGCTGAGAGATGATTCTGGCCTGATAACTACAGCTTTGTTTTGTGAAAACAGAGACGCAAGCATCAGTTCCTTCTTCTGCCCAGAGGTCTCAAGGAGTTTGGACAGGGGTATCATGGGGGCAGGGAACACAGGGAAAAAGAGAGAGCGGGGAGGAAATGAGGAACAGGTAAGAAATGCATTGCTGTTGAAAAAAAGAGCTCTCTTCAGCCAATAATAACAGCTGAGGTTGTCTGAGCACTTACTTTCTCCCAGGCACTGTGCTAAACACGTTTGTTACTCAGTCCTCAGACACTCCCATGAGTTCAGTTTAAGAATTCCCATTCCACAGAACATGGAAAGGGTGCTCCAACAATTATGTTGCTGCAGATTAGCTCATTCTCAATCTAACCAATAAACATGACCCTAGGGTAGAATGTAAAGTGATTTAAATGGAACACCTGCCTTACAGAAGATCCTTTCCACTCAGCATTTGGGAGGGGAGAGGATTTTTTTATTCAATTTGGATGGCTAATTAGTTATCACAATGACTGAGGAATGGGAAGGTGCCACTGGCATTTAGCGGAAGAAGTCCAGGATGCTAAAAACATCCTATGCTCTAGAGAACAATGCTCTAGTCAAGAAACATGAGAACTGTATGCCCCTTGGCTCCCCTATCTCTATAGTGTGGACATCACCTGCCTCATCAGCTTATAATGAGGATTGAATGACTCACCATCTGGAAGGTACCAGTTCCCACAATTTAGCAGAAGCTGTCAGTGCCCCAACCATACCCTTTGGCTATGTACTGTTTCTGAGCAGGCTGGCCTGACCTCCACCAGCCAGCATCTGTATCTCCCTTTCCACAAGTTTTTCTGGCCATGAAAGCACACCAGAACCTCCCATCACGAGACAAACTCAAGGCAGCCTGGGGCCCTCCACCAGTGGCTGGTGGGAGTTGGTGTATAAACACGCAGCTACCTCACTCTTTGGAGAGACAGAGCTGAGACTCATGTTCTGCACTGTTTACAGAGTTCCCCAGTAGGATTAAACTCCAGTTTCCTACAGTGGTAACCAGCTTCCTTTCCTTCTCTCTCAAGCTCACCACTCTCTATGGTGCTCTCTGGGACCATTTCCCAGTTAAACCATTTGCTTACAAATCCCTGTCTCTGAGTTGCTCCTCAGGAAGCTGAATCTAAGACACACAGTGAACAGTGAACTGTGACCCCCTTACTTCTGTGCCCTGGTTAGTTTGTATGTTTTTTTTCAACCTAGAGCGCCCATTATGTGTGTGTCTTCTTGTGCAGGTCTGCTCATTTTAATAACTGTGTACTGTGAATTATGTTGGTTCCTCTCTCTGGCTCGTTAGCAACATTATTGAAAATTGGGTAGGGAGGGCAGCCCAGGAAACCTCACAAACAGGAGGTGATTCTTTCCCAGACAATGCAGGCACTGCCATTTCTGCTTTGGGACTGAGAAACTCCCCCACCCCCAGCCCCCACCAGCCAGGAAGAAGAGTGGATCCTTGTGGTACAACAGCAAAAGGGACGTGCAGGTCCCAGGAAGCTCAGAGAGCTATGTTTGGGGAGGCCTCTGTCTGACCTCACATAAGCAACAGAGCTGTACTGCCCAAATAGTCCCTCCTGAACACAGCAGGGCTAGAAGCTGGCTTGGGAGAACATCAGAAGAGGATGAGGGCCCTGCCCTTGAGAAAGGAACCAAAGCACTACTAACTAAAGGGACAATCAAGCAACTGTGCAACCCAAAACCCATAGTTCACAATGAACAGCACAGCTGCATTTAGGCAGTGCTGGTTTCAAAGCTGGTCCTTTGCCTGTTTTTTTGTTTTTGTTTTTGTTTTTGTTTGAGAAAGGGTATGGCTCTGTCACCCAGGCTGGAGTGCAGTGGTGCAATCTCATCTCCCTGCAACCTCTGCCTGCCGGACTCAAGCGATCCTCCCACCTCAGACTCCTGAGTGGCTGGGACTACAGGCGCACACCACCATGCCCAGCTAATTTTTTTGTCGAGATGGGGTTTCGCTGTGTTGCTCAGGCTGGTCTCAAACTCCTAGGCTCAAGCAATCCTCCTACCTCGGCCTGCCAAACTGCTGCAATGGTCCTTTGCCTCTCGAATTTGTGCCTAATTTACTTTCATTCCCACCCCTAGAGCTGTTTTATGTCTTCCAAGTTTATGCCCTTCATGGGGAAGTGAAGCCACATCCAAATGGTTGGGGAAATGTCCTGAAGAGCTGAATATCTGCCACCTCACCTGCATGGCTCTCGTGCTCGCAGCCAGGCTGCAGGACTCCAAAGCCACCCCTGGGAACCTCTGAGCCCTTGTTGCCTATGATGTGCGGTGGACACTTAAGGAAATTGCCAAGGGACAAATCTGGTCACCTCACATCGACCTGCTTTGCTATATAATCCATCGGCTCCAGGCCTGCCCTGCACTTACCCTCAACGAGTCCGTGAGCAAGACACCTCAACTGCTAAAGTCTCACATTCTGCAAGTGCAAAGTAGGATTCTTTTTTTTTTTTTTTTGAGATGGAGTTTTGCTTTTGTTGCCCGGGCTGGAGTGCAGTGGCATGATCACCGCTTACTGCAACCTCTGCCTCCCAGGCTCATGCAATTCTCGTACCTCAGCCTCCCAAGTAGCTGGGATTACAGGCGTGTGCCACCACACCCGGCTAATTTTTTTTTTTTTTTTTTAGTAGAGACGGGGTTTCACCATGTTGGCCAGGCTGGTCTCGAACTCCTGATCTCACGTGATCCGCCCACCTCGGCCTCCCAAAGTAAGATTCTAATCATAACCACTCCTTAGCGTCATTTTGAGGATTAAATGAGATAATATACAGAAGCAGCAGACATGAGTTCCTGATGTGTAGGATCCAACTAATAAACATTAGCCAGGAGTAAGAAATAGTTTGAGCAGCAATGGTCACAGCAGCAACAGAATGGTAGGGGTAGTTAAGAGCTTGGAATCGGCTGCTTTCCTGTATCCTCTCTAGTAGCTGGCACAAACTCTGCACAAAGTGCACACTCAATAAATATTTGCATGAAAGCATTGAGTAAACCAAGCCAGGCTGAAGATGTTTAAAGCTACTGTTTACTGTGTCCTTATCAGATACCAGGCCCTGGGGTGAGCACATCATTTAGATTTCCTCACATGATCTTTTAATTCACTCCCCGGCTTCTGTGGTTTCCTTCCATGGGGAGCGAGCTCAGCCTGCTGAGACACTCCCGGCTCTTCACCTCAGTACATCTTTAGAGGGAGAAGCATCTGAGTGGGGAATTGGGAGGAGAAACTGGGCATGCACGGCCCTCCCTGTTCCCACCACCTCCTCCCCTTTGGGGGCTTCACTGTCTCACTCTATGAGCTTTACAGGGGCTGTGAAGATCCAGGGATCCTGGCGGCCAGGTAGGTCTGTGAACTCTGGGGCTACACGTCAGGGAATCCCCTGGCCTGTAGAGGTAAGCTACGTGTTATACAACCTGGCCTTTGTTGTAAGGAAGGTGATTTGGGACCTCCATATGCTGGCTCTTTTATCTTATTCAAGAATTGGTTCAGACCCAGGTGGGGAAGGGTGGTACTATCTTTTGACTCCCTATAACGTAATTCCTATACCAACTCCAGAGGTGAGTAACAGCATCCCGTATTTCCCCATGTAGTGGGTTAAATGACTTGCCCAAGGTCACACAGGTGAGCTACCATTCAGACCTGGGTGTGTTTAACTCCAAAGAATGGCTCACACCTGTGCTGTCCCTGGAATGTTGCTGTGCCCACAAATCACCAGCTGAAGCACGCATTGCCAGTCTCATGAGAAGAGGCAAAGAGGGCCATTTACCTAGGAGAGCTAGACCTGAGCCTGCCGGATGTGCTTCCCGTTAGCCCTCGACGACAGTCATTCCAGCTGGCTCCCTTCATGGGCGGGGTCTTGCTGGAAGCTTTCCTCCCACTCTCAGGACTTTCGCCCATCTTCCTGTTTGCTTCTCCTCTCCACTTTTCTCGTTATTTGGCAAAAAATATCCCAAGCCCTAAAAGACATGTAATTCCCAGAGCTTCTTCCCTGAGCATGTCCAAGTCTCTCCTGGTTGGCTCTTTTATTATTTCTTTCATTTATTCCTGGAAGCCCTCATGACGACATGGGTTTCAGACTCTACTTATTTCCCAAATGACTTGTTGGCACTGCTGTGTGGCACTGGGATCAGTAAGGGAATGCACCCTCACCTCTTCTCTATAAAATGCCTCCTTTGGTATCTTGGCAGATATTCTCACATGCCACATTCCACCAGGTGTCTGTAGAGGCAAGGAAGTTAGAGTCTGGAAGGGTCTCTACCTCCTCCTCCTTTTCCTCTCCCTCCTCCTGGTTATTCTTCTACTTCTCTCTCAAACAACTGCCTAGTTGTCTGCATTTGAAATACAGTACCTGGTTGTAAACTCCAGAGATTTGGAACTCAAGGGGACCCTGCTTTTCTAATATTATAGATGAGGAATTAAGGCACAGAGAGGTTAAGGGACTTGCCTGAGGTCACACAGCAAAATAGTGGCTGAACTAGACTAGACTGTCAGTTTCTTGACTCAGTCCAGTGCTCATCTCAGAATGCCGTTTGGTTAAATTGGTCCACTGGGTTTATAGTGCTAAGAACCACATAGTTAAGTGAAGGAAGCACATCCATTCCCTACCTTACTGAAAGCCAGTTCTATCAGATCTGTTCTGTTAGAGTCTGACCGTGTCAACTCCCTCTCTGCCCTTCATTCACTTTTCTTACCATTGTGCAAAGCTAGTTCCCGCCCTGGGACCTTGGCACTTGCTGTCCCCTTGAGGTGAACACTCCTCTCAGATCTTCCAAAGCTCTCTCCAGATTGTTCAGGTCTCCGCTCAAGTGTCCCCATCTGACCTAAAACTGTCCCCTCCTCTATCATTCTCTGCCTCCTACCCTGCTTTGAAATTTAGAGCACTTACCACTCTCTGAAATATTGTTTGTGCTTGTCCTCTTGTCTTGCCTGCCTCCCACACAGAAATGTAAATTCCACACAGGCAGGGACTTTGCTTTGCTCACCACTGTGTCCTCAGCACCTGGCACTTGGTAGATGATTGATAAGAATGAATTTGTTTGCTATTAAGATATTATGGATTAATAGTGGTTAGGACCAAAATATACCACAGAGGATAGGGTGACAGGCAACCCAGATGGCTGCCATGGGACCCAGGAGGAGATTACACATCCTGAATCTAGACATGGCAACACTGTTCTGAGTGTATTGGATTTTCAACTTCACAAAACCAAACACTCTGCAGAGCACAGCACACCTGGCTCCTGAGGGAAAAGAGCAGGACAACATCCCCTTCCAATTCAAGGTCAACAGGCTAAAATGCAGGCACCGGTTTTGGTCGTCTCTCTCTTGCAAGGAACTGCTCTCCTCTCTCCTTTTTTCTGTCTATTAAACTTTCCGCTCCTTAACCCACCCACATCTGTCCAAGTTCTGAATTCTTTCTTGGCAAGAGACTACGATCCCCATGGTATATACCCCAGACAATGTAGCTGTTTCAGTTGGGTGTTCTCATCAGGGATCGAGATGAGAATGGAAGGTAGAATCATTGGTGTGAGTCAAGGAAACTTATTTTGAACTAATTATGGCCTTTAATAATTGAGTAAGGTATACTCCTGTGAACAAAATTTGGAGCATGTTTGTTTCTCTCTACCTGGTTCCTCCAGAATTTGGAAACCATCTACTCACCGTTCTTGTTCCTGTGAATCAAGTGGTGAGCTGCAGCTTGGAAGAAACAAAAAGTGATGCAACATCTGGTGGAGGCAAACCAGTGTTACAACCCATTGGAATGGCTGACAGCAATCAAACTCCAAACAGTGCTGCAGACCAAACCACGCATGAACACGCCTTTCTTCCGAGGACCCTTAGATCAACCCCAGGAGGAGCCCTAAGTGCTGTTCCCCACATTACGCCCCTTTTCAGTAGGAAGTAGCCAGGAAGAGTCATCACCGAACACCCCCTAACACCAGTTAGTGTTACCACTCCAGAGGGAGGAATGATATAGGAGTTAAGAAGAAATCACTTAGGCAAATAGTAAGGGTATGTGAGTCCTCAGTAACGCTTTTCTATTTAATGAAAAGCAGCTGCAAACCATTTTCTAACAAAGAACCGCCTGTAAAGTCTAGCTGCAGACATAGCTGGGAGCTTGCACAGGTGAATGCCAGCAAGAACTAGGAACTAGACATGTTCAAGATGGTGGCCCCACCTTCCCTTCTCTGTCAGCCACGTGTAAAGAGCAAACAAGATGGTGGCGATCAACTGGAAAGCCCACTTGCATAGTAAGATTAGGATGGGGCAACTTGCCTTCCCCGTGTGCTATATAAACGTCATACCTGATCGAACCAATCTGTGAGCCCAACATAAATCAGACACTGCCTTCTCCAGCCTGCCTATAAAGTCTGCCCTGGCACACACTGCCTTTTCCTTTGCAGACCTTTCTCTCTCTCTCTCTCTCTCTCTCTCTCTGGCAAGGAGAGAGAAAGACTGTCTAATAAACTTTCCACTGTTTAACCCAAAAAAAATATATAAAATTAAATTAATTTAAATTAAATTAAAAAATAAAAAAAAAAATAAAATAAATAAAATAAAATATAAAATAAAATGCAGGAACCTGGCAGACCTCAGAGGAGCCCAGGCCTGATCAAGGTGCTCCTTCCTGCCTCCTGTTCTTACCAGATAACTGATTCTCTCCGTGATGAGATGCACACTTCCTGGGATCCCATCCCCTCACAAGGATTCCACAACTTATCAGACCACATGGTTGCCCTTTTCTCCCACTCACCATCTGAGAATCACATGTTGTTAGCAATCCATCTTCCACCTACAAAAATAAGAAAGTAACTGACACCCTCAGGTGTGGAGCCCTGTTAACCCAGAAGTCAGCAAAGAAAAATGATTTGCCTTCTGATCAGGGAATGTGGGATATCAGTAAGCAAGGGGTATAGTTTCAGGTCTAGTGGTCTCCTTTTCTTAACCTCTAGCCTCACAAGCCAATAAAACTCACAGAAATCCTTCCCCTGCCTCATTAACCCCTCAGTCAAGTGAGGAGGCAGTCACTCCCCACACCAAGGTAGCCTTATGCTTTCCTGTCCTGCACTAGCACTGAGATACTCAGATGGTACCCAGACCTCATCCTGCCATTAGCCCAAGCCAGGAACAGCTCTGTCTGTGGAGAGAGTAGAAGGCAGTCAAGTGCTTGGGATACACCGTCTCTATTCTACAGTGTAACCTGAGAACCCCAAAATGCCCTGAGGCAGCCCAATCCTGCCCATCCCTCAAAGATGGCTTCAGTATTCATGTTTTATCATATTATATATTATAATTTTTTAATTAATAGAAAAGGAATGTTAACACAGGTCATCTGGATCCAGAGCTCCATGCTCTAAGTTTTTAAGGCTATGAATTTTCCTCTTAATATAGCTTTGACTACATCCCTTAGTTTGCAGTTTGTACTACTTTCATGTTAATGATTTTCTAAACATTCTGTAACTTCAGCTTTGACTTAATTCTTGACCTAAGGGTTGTTTAAAAGAGAATTTTAAAATCTTCAAATGGTTTGAAGTTTGTTTAGTCTTATGAGTCAGAATTCTCTGATTGCAAGGAAAATAACCCCAATTGACTTAAGTGAAAGATGGGAATTGTTATAAGGATATAAGGACCTTGTGTACTCCAAGAGCAAAAATGCATTGAGACTCTTAAAAGGGCATAAATCAGCAACTGGTAAATCATTGGGAGCTTCTCTCTGATCTCTGCTCGCTCCTACATATCTAAATCATTGTTTCTGGGTTTGTTTGTTTGTTTGAGATGGAGTCGAGCTCTGTCACCCAAGCTGCAGCGCAGTGGCATGATCTTGGCTCACTGCAACCTCCACCTCCCGGGTTCAAGCGATTCTCCTGCCTCAGCCTCCCAAGTAGCAGGAGCTACAGGTGCCCGCCACCAAGCCCGGCCAATTTTTCTATTTTTAGTAGAGACAGGGTTTCACCATGTTGGCCAGGCTGGTCTTGAACTCCTGACCTTAGGTGATCCACGCGCCTCAGCCTCCCAAAGTGCTGGGATTACAGATGTGAGCCACCATGCCTGGCCTATTTCATTGTTTCTATAGTGGTTTGGGGTTTTGTTTTGTTTTTTGCCAACCAGTTTCTTCTTTCTTGAATTCACATGGCAGATCACAATCACTGATAGTTCTCAAATTTGTATATTGTAGGTCCAGCCACCTGAGAGATGATATTCCTATCTCTGTGCCTCAAATTCCAGATTTTCAGGGAAGGAGGTCTGGCCCATCTGGATCAGGTGTCCAATCTTAAGTCAATCAGTCAAGGCCAGGGAAGTGCGATCATATTGTACTAAGTTGTTGCTGAAAACCAAAATGTGGGAGGAGTTATGAAAGAGAAGGGACAGGGATTCGTTATTGTGAACAGATTGGACACATGAAAAGGTATCCACTACTGTTTAGTTTTTCTTATTTATGTCTGGGTTTATTACATTGTGGACAGAAGATGTAGTCTGTTGTATTTCAACCTTTAAGAATGTATAGAAATTTTCTCAATTATAGTTATGTTCTCATTTGCTTTTATAGAAAAAGAAATGTGGTAAAGTTTCCCACTACTGTTGTTTCTGTCAGTTTCTTCACATGTTAATACTATATTGTTTGGCACATGAAGTTTCAAGTATATCACATTCAACTTGAGTATATTACAATTTTCTGGAATGCTTAGTTAAATCATAGCCTCCTCAGGGTTGCAAGAGACCATAAAGGTCACTTAGTTAATTCCTCCTTCAGAAGCTTCACTGCTGTCTAACAATCCCTCAAGCGGCCATTAGCCATGTTTGAGCTCTGCATTCCATTATTCGACTGCTCTGACAGTCAGGGAGTTCTTTCTCAAATTGAACTGGACTCTGCCTTTCTGTCACTCTGTCACTTCTAACCATTGGTATCCCAGTCCTAACACTGAGTATCCTCTCCCATATATCACCCCTTCACATTTCTCAGGTCAATTTCCAGAAACACAAAACCAGAGCCCCTCTTTCTGAATGCCTTTTCTGATAGCTTTGAATATACTAAACATTTCACAAACTTCAAAATGCCAGTTGGGAAAGAAATACCTTAATCCCAAAAGTCTTCCTGTTTCTGCCCCTCACTTTTTAAGGGATCCTTGAAAAAGTTAGTGATGGGGGATTTTGCCTCAGTTTCTCTCAACTTCATCAGAGGGTCTAGAAACAAGTTTGCAAACAATTCTGATGAGGCAGGAGGAAAGAGAGGGAGGGAAGAATGATGTTTATGTGTAGGAGGATGCCTTCAGAGCCCTGGTGGGGTGGACTCTATGCTGGGAAACAGCCATTTGGTAAGAGCATTGATCATCGGTTGAAAATTGCTTGTGTCTTGTCCATGGGTGAAGCTTTTGGAGGCAAAAGAGATCTCATAGGGAGAACTGCTGCTGCCCAAGCTGCCACTGTCACGGGTGAACATTCGTTTTGCTTGTGTGTGCCTGTCTCTCCCAACTAGGATGTAAGCTCCATATGTCAGGAGCTCTTCTTCCCCCGTCTTGCTCACTTCTGCATCCTCGAGGCCTAGAACAGTGCCCGGCACATAGTAGGTATTCAATAAATATCAGTTGAATGAATAAATCAATTCATGCAGCTCAGCTTTCTTAATTTAAGTATCACCCTCCCCTTTAGTTAACAAGTCATCTGGTTGTTTCTCTTTAATGCATGAGAGAGAGTCCACTTCAACTATCCATGCCCTCTGGATTCTTATTTGAGCCATATTGTTGGACTTTGTCAGCAGCTTCCCAGAGGGAGGGCACTATCTCTAGGAGAAAAAAATGAAACATAGAATTAAAGAATTTTTGAGCTTCCTTGGTTCTACCCTCGAAAATGTAAGGCTCTCTAGTCCCTGGAATTCCCATGTTACTAACTTCTTTGGGTAAAGACACTTGCATTAGTTTTTTAGGGCTGCTGTAACAAATTACCAGAAACTTGGTGGCTTAAAATAACAGAAGTGTATCCTCCCACTGCCCTGGAAACCAAAAGTATGAAGTCAAGGTGTCAGTAGGGCCATGATCCCTCCAGAGACTCTAGGGGAGAATCCAACTTCTGGTGGCTGTCAGCACTCCTTGGCTTATAGTCACATCACTCTATTGCTTGAAGGCCAGCGTCTTCAAATTTCTCTCAGCTCTGTCTTCAGATCACCTTTTCCTCTCACATGTATTCCAGTCTCCCTCTGCTTCCCTCTTATAAGGATACACGATTGCACTGAAGGTTCATCCAGATAATCCAGGATAACCTCCCTGTCTCAAGATCCTTAACGCTCATCACATCTGCAAAGACCCCTTTTCTTTATGAGATAACATTTACAGGTTTTAGAAATCAGGACCTGATGTCTTTGGGACCCCTTATTCAGCCCACTGCAACACTGAAGGCCACCAGTTGAATATTTGTCCATTCAACAGACATCCACTGGGTATCTATTCTATGCCAGGCACTGAGCTGGTCTCTGGAGACACATAGTGGAAACAAGAGTGATGTGTGTCCTCCCCAAGCCCACACTCTAGTGAAAGATACACACAGCAGGCAAGCCATAGACCCCCAGTGCTCATCAGCCAGTCACCTAGCAAGGTCTTCCCTGAATAAAACCCAGGATAGATAAATGTGGACATTTTCAGAGGATCAATGCCTTAGGGATTTTGCTGGGGGATGGGGGAGGAGAGGCCTAAATAATAACTACAATCTACTCAGCACTTATTACACACTAGGCCCTGTGCCAAATGCTCTAATACATTATCTAATCTAGTCCTTAGAATAAGCTCAGGACATAGGTCTGATTATCCCCATTTTACAGACTGAGAAAACTGAGGCTCGGAGTAAAAATAATTTGTCTAGGATCTCACAAGTAGTGAATGGCTGAGCTGAGATTTGGGCCTAGGTCTGTTACACTCTAGTGTTCTTAATCAGGCATGACCCTGCCTGAGCCATCTGAGGACACTGGGGACCAGGTAGACTGTGGGCTGAAAGAGCAGGAGAGGCAGTATTGGGCCGTGGGAAGAGCTGAATTCTGCTTAACGTCTGTGTGTCCTTGGGTAAGTCCCTTCACCACTCCAGCCTGTTTTCCCATCTGTAACATGAGAGAATGGGAACAACTGAGTTCAAAGTCCCCATTTTCTGTATCTGCATCTGAAAGGGCTGACAAAAAATTTCATTATCCTCATGCTTTTGCTTGGAACAAGGGCTCATATCAGGCACCCAGGAAGCCCCAAGGCTAAAAACAAGTAGGCATAGTGGAGCTAGTGGGCCACAGAGCCCCAGATTGGAGCCGCATCAAGATTATCAATCACAGGCTGGGCACAGTGGCTCACGCCTGTAATCCTAGCACTTTGGGAAGCTGAGGCAGGTGGATCCCTTGAGGTTAGGAATTCAAAACCAGCCTGGTCAACATGGTGAAACCCCATCTCTACTAAAAATACAAAAGTTAGTCGGGTGTGGTGGCACTCACTTGTAATCCCAGCTACTTGGGAGGCTGAGGCAGGAGAATCTCTTGAACCTGGGAGGCAGAGGTTGCAGTGAGCCGAGATTGCGCCACTGTACTCCAGCCTGGGCAACCTAGTGAGACTCTCTCTTTAAAAAAAAAAAAAAAAAAATATATATATATATATATATATGGATTACACAAGGCCAGTGGCCCAGGAGACCGGGATAAGGAGTTTGGAGATGACTCTGCAGGCCATTCTCTTGCTCCAGCCTGGGTTCTGAGCTCACAGGCTCTTATGATTTCACTGAGCACACAGGTGACAGGCAGATGGCTTCTCTTCCTGGCTCTCCATGGAGAAAAGGTCTCCTGGGGAAGTTGCATGAGACCCTCCGGCAACAGAGGGGAAATGGAGACCCAGACACACTGTGCTAACCTTCCCTGCTTGTAGGATGTGGACAGATGGTTGGACCCTATGAAGGGTCACAGACCTCTTTGGCAATGTATTAAATCTCAGAATTCTGTCCCCAGAAAATTTCTTGCAGACATGTACACCGCCAGCAACACTGCCGACATGCTATGAAGCCCATTCATGGACAGCAGTTTCAGAACCCTGGTGTAGAAGGTGTACCCTCTCTCTGAGAGAACTTCTGGGAATAACTCACCCTCGAGGGATGAGGAGAGTCAAGGCCACTCAGAAGTCACTTTGTTTTCAAGTCATCTCATGTGATTCAAAAGCTGAGGTTTATGTTTGGAGGGAGGGGGTCTAAGAGAGAGAACAAGTGAGGTTTGAAACCCACCTGCATACCATTCTCAACCAGCTACGTTCTTCCCTTTACATCTATCTTTCATAATGTTGAATTTAACATTATTTCTATGTCCTTGGTGATCTGGAAAATCATCTTAAATCACAGATCTGGCTAGGCACGGTGGCTCACACCTGTAATCCCAGCACTTGGGGAGGCCAAGGTGGTTGGATTGCTTGAGCTCAGGAGTTCAAGACCAGCCTGGGCAACATGAGTGAAACCCCATCTCTACTAAAAATACACAACTTAGCCGGGCATGGTGGCGTGAGCCTGTAGTCCTAGCTACTTGGGAGGCCCAGGCGGCAAGATCACTTAAGCCCAGGAGGCAGAGGTTGCAGTGAGCCAAGATCGTGCCACTGCACTCCAGCCTAGGTGACAGAGTGAGACCTTGTCAAAAAAAAAAACAACAAAAAAAAAACAGATTATCGGAATGATATTGGTCTGCCAATGGCAAGAAATGTCCCCTCTCGCCTGCGATGGCTTTCCTTGCATTCCAGTAACTCCTGGGATGTCCTTCCCATTCTTCTGGAAACCGTGTTTTCTGACCCACACACACAGGGGTTAGAAAACCCCTGTGTTCGTACACAAAGTACATACTCCATACTCAGAGCCAGCCAGGAGTATTGGAAATTGGTGAACAGGGTACCCCACCCAGCACAGCAAGGTCAAGTTTGGGATATCACAAGATTTGGCACTGAGAAATTTGAAATTTTTCCATTCAATCAGTGGATCTTAATCCTTGGGGGGTCACTGATGCCTTTGAAAATCTAATAAAGCTACACACACACACACACACACACACACACACACACACACACACACAATGCACATAGAAACAAAAACTTGCCACCAATTTCAAGGTGTTCACAACCTCCCTGAAGCTTCCCCAAGGATTCTTTAGAGCTGCCCTATCCAAGATGATGGCTACAAGCTACTTGTGGCTACTGGGCCCTTGAAATGCGGCTACTCAGGATGGAGATTTACCATAGACATAAAATACAAGCTACATTTCAAAGACTTCATTTGAAAAAGTAAAGAATGTAAAAATATTTCAATAATTTTATATGATTACAAGTTGAAATGATAATTATTTGGATATATTGAGTTACAAAAAATATATGATTAAAGTTAATTTCACCTATTTCAGGATGGGTGTGTCGGCTCATGCCTGTAATCTCGGCACTTTGGGGGGCCTAGGCCAGTGGATCACCTGGAATCAGGAGTTCAAGACCAGCCTGGCCAACATGGTAAAATCTTTTCTCTACTAAAAATACAAAAATTAGCCAAGCATGGTGGTATGAGGCTGCAGTCCCAGCTACTCCAGAGGCTGAGGCACAAGAATCACTCGAACCCAGGAGGCAGAAGTTGCTGAGTGAAGACTGCACCACTGTACCCTACCCTGGGCAACAAAGCAAGACTCTGTCTCCAAAAAAAGAAAAAAAAAGGTTAATTTCACATGTTTCATAAGCCTCAGGAAAGGCTTCCCAGGATTCTCAAATTATAAATGTTCACTTTAGGTCCTGCCACACCCTACTCCCCACTGGCCATTTCCTGATACAGTCAGGATGGCTGTGTTAGGCCGGGCTCCCAGTGCCACACTTCTCCTTCCTTAGTATCAGCCCTCATTCCCCTGCGACCGAGGAGGTGTCTTCCCAAGGGAAAAGGGCCCCTGATCAGGCAAGATGTGGCAGTCTCTTGGCAGAGGCAAAGCAAAGAGCCCTCAGCAACCCACTACCCTCAAATGGAAATCCTTAGGCCCAGTCCCTGGGTCTGCAGCTCTTAAGCACCTGGGCCCAGCTGTCCATACAAAGAGTGATCTACTTTCCTGAAAATATAAGAATGTGCAGTGGTTTCCACTATAGCCCCCTACGTGAATTCTAGTTCTGGGCAACATCAGCTAAGAAGAATCAGAAATACCACCTAGTCCCTCATCTTACAGGCGGAGAAACTGACGTCTAAATAGGTCAAACAACCTTTCTGGCCACACAGTTGGTTAGTGATATCACCAGGGTCTAGCTCAGAGCATGGCTCAGAAAACACGTGCAGCATAAATGATCCAGAGAAGGAATCGATTGATCCAGGGAAGGAAGCCAGATCTCTCACTGCAGTCCAGTGTCCCTCTTACGACCCCCACTGACGTACCCTCATCCCTATTCAGAAAATGGGGAATTTACTTACCTGCTGATAACAGCAAGGGGACCAATGCGAAGAAAAACAGAAGAAGCAGAACAGAATTCCAAAGGAGAGCTTTGACTCGAGAGTGACTGTTTAATCATTCGACCCTCCTCCGTGGCAGATTGTGGGTCTTTGCAAGCCCGAGGCATTCTCACCCCACTCCACTGCCTAGCAACCATATTCAAAGACTCACTTATCCTACATTAAGTCAAATTTATACCTAACTACTTGAGTTTAGTTGCAATTAGCTAGTTGACATGTTGTGATTTACAGACATTTAATTAAAACATTATTAACATTCATATTTCCTTTTGTTTTGTTGAGTCTTAGGCATTTTCATAGGACCTTGTAAAACTTTGAACCCAAAGACAGAGCAAATGGTCAGCTGGTGCACCCTAGTATAATTGTACTTTTTGTTTACCTCTGGTATCCATTTTAATTGGTCAGGGTCTGTGCTTACCAGATAAGTCTCTTGATCATTATCCCTGCCCAAAGGGTAAAATGGCCCTGCCTCCCAAGGGCTTACTTTGTCATCTTAGTTAAGCAACAGCCTTAATTAACAGCCTCCATTTGATCTTTTGCAGAAAAAAAGAACAAGTCATAGAGGATCCTAAATAGTAACAGCAACGAATTCCAGAAATCCGAGGGCCAGTTGGGTCCCACCTTCGCTGTGTTGGGGGATCCCACAGTCATTGACTACACAGTTGTTGACACTGCTCGCTAAAAATGATCATCAATGGATACACATAGAACACATAGAGTTCACGGCCGGGCACGGTGGCTCACGCCTGTAATCCCAGCACTTTGGGAGGCTGAGGCAGCCGGATCACAAGGTCAGGAGATTGAGACCATCCTGGCTAACATGGTGAAACCCTGGCTCTACTAAAAAAATACAAAAAGAATAGCCGAGCGTGGTGGCGGGCGCCTGTAGTCCCAGCTACTCGGGAGGCTGAGGCAGGAGAATGGCATGAACCTGGGAGGCGGAGCTGGCACCAAGCCAAGATTGCACCACTGCACTCCAGCCTGGGTGACAGCAAGACTGTGTCTCGGAGAAAAGAAAAACAAAACACATAGAGTTCACAATTTCACAAACAAACTTTTGTTAATAGGGGATGGAGAATATGATTGTGCAACTGCTGTCACCCACCTCTTCTAAGACCCAGAAACTAAAGTCCTGGTGCAAACATCTGGGTCCCTCATCAGGGGCTGGGAAGGTCACACAGCCCCTCCCTCAGGCAGGTGAAACATCTGGTTCATCTAGCATGTGGGGCTGTGAGCAGGAGTGTGCCCTGAGAGGACAAATTCTTGAAGACTCCATCCCTGTAAAGAATGTCACACTGCTGCTGCGTATGGTTGTGGTGTAGTTTGGATGTTTGTCTCCTCCAAATATCGTGCTGAAATCTGATCCACAGTGTTGGAGATGGGGCCTAACGGGAGCCATTTTAGTCACAGGGGTTAATCCTTCATGAATAGATTAATGCCCTCCCTGGGTGGGGGATAAGTGAGTTCTCACTCTGTTTGTTCTTGTAGGAGCTGGTTGCTGAAAAGAGCCTAGCGCCTCCCCTCTCTCTCTTGCTTCCTCTCTCACCATGTGATCTCTGCACATGCCAGCTCCCCTTCACCTGCTGTCACGAGTGGAAGCAGCCTGAGGCTTTCACCAGATACCCAATCTTTTAGACACGAGAACTGTGAGCCAAATAAATTCTTTTTTTTAATAAATTACCCAGCCTCAGGTATTCCTACTATATAGCAACACAAATAGACTTAGACAAGCTGGTAATAAAGCCCTCAAGGGCTAATGAGAGAAGTATGTGCTTTGGAGTCAGAAACTCCTGAGTTTTAGGCTTGGCTATGTCACTTGCTAACTGTGAGACTTGGGGAAGGTTATTAGATCACTCTCCCATTTCCTCATCTCTAAAATGGGAGACGACTCCTACCTCAAAGGGTTGTTCTAAGAATTGAGTGGGATATTGTTTGTAAAGCACCAGCCCTATAGTGGCCAAATTACTTGCATTCCTGTTCAATGTTGCATGTTTCTCTGAATACTCCCAGTTCATCCCAGAAGTGGAGGTACACAGAGAGTTAAGCAGGTAGAGTCAGTAGGGGAGAGGACTGGATTTGAATTCATGCTCTGCCATCTATTATCTGTGCGACTTTGGGCCACTTACCTACATTAAGGGTGGATAGCAAGATTAAATGAACACAAAAGTGTTTGAAACTGAGCCAGGCACATAAGAAACCCTCATTAGCTACTGGCTATTGTTATTTTTATAGTAGATGTTCAATAAATGTTAATTGAATCTAAATTGATCCACAGGTGACTTGGGGATGAGATGGAGGCTCATTCATTAGAGGTAGGTGCCCTTTCCTCCAATAAAGTTCCCAGTGTATTTTCATTACTTCAAAATGTACACTTTTCTGATAGAAAACTCAAAGGAGTATCGAGGCCAGAATGCTGCTGGTTTGTCCTCAGCTGGGCACTTTTTATGTGATTTACTGACTTGTATTTCTTATCTTCATGACCCTAAAAGGAACTTAAAAGGTAGTATATTATTTCATTTCCATTTTTCAGAAAAAGAAATGTCATCAAACAAGACATTAAATCTCTTTTCCTTTCATAATTCTTTTTCATGCAGCTCCCAACTCTACCCTACTGAAAAAGAAGCCCCCACACAAGATGACAAAGGAAAAAGCAAGGAGGGGCCTTGAAGAAGCATGACCTGGTGAGGATTTTCAGCCTGATGGGGATGATCAGTGCCCAGACCAAGGCACCATAGTCTAGAACTTCACTGCTTAAAGTGTGGTCTGTGGGCCAGCAGCATTGGCATCATCTGAGAGTTTCTTAGAAATGTAAAATCTGCCCGGGTGCAGTGGCTCACACCTGTAATCCCAACACTTTGGGAGGCCAAGGCAGGTAGATCACCTGAGGTCAGGAGTTCAAGACCAGCCTGTCCAACATGGTGAAACCCCATCTCTACTAAAAATATAAATATTAGCCGGGTGTGGTGGTGTGTGCCTGTAGTCCCAGCTACTATGAAGGCTGAGGTACGAGAATTGCTTAAACCTAGGAGGCAGACGTTGAGGTGAACCAAAATTGCACCACTGAACTCCAGCCTGGGTGACAGAACAAGACCCTGTATCAAAAAAAAAAAAAAAAAAAAAAAAAAGAAAAATGCAAAATCTCTGGCCCCATCCTAGGCCTCCTAAATCGAAATCTGCATTTTAACAAGATCTCCAAGTGATATGTTTACACATTAAAGTTTTGAGAAGCACTGTTAGTAGGTGTGAGATCTGGAGAATTGTGTTATCATCCTGGTTCAGCCACTCACTAGTTACATTACCTTGAAAATTTACTTATCATTTCTGAGTCTCCATGTCCTCATCTAAACAATTACAGAAAATTATAATGCCCTCATCCAACCTACCTGCTATTGGAGCATGTGTGTTGAGACATAAATTTGGAGCATATATGTGGAAGTGTTTTGTAATGTATTAAGCACTAAATAAATATAAGATTTCATTCTTTCCACCATATGCATTTTCTTCAAGTAGATCCAGTGGTCTATGGGCTAAGAGGTCTCCATCCTATTCCTCTTTTGACTTAGAGCAGGAGAGTTGGCCCAAATATGAGCCTACTCTCATTGAAATTATGACAACTGCACCCAAAGCTGCTCCTGTTTTCGTGAGGATTGTCACTATTTCCCAAGGCTTCCATGCAGGCTAAGACCAGGCAGTTTCAATGATTCAAGCTGTCCACAAAATTCCTGGGAGACCTGCCACAGTGATAGTTAGGCCATAAAGAACTCCCTAGGATAGTCCCCCCCAAAAAAACCATGGGCTTTGGACACACATATCTGGCTCTGCCACTCCCTGTGACCTTGAACAAGTCAGCCTGGTTTTCTAAGCCTCAGTTTCTTCATCCATACACTAAAGATAAAAACACGTACTTTGCCAGACTTTTGTAAGGATGTTGTAAGATGATGTGTGTAGGCTGGGCATGGTGGCTCATGCCTGTAATCCCAGCACTTTGGGAAGCCAAGGTAGGCGGATCACCTGAGGTCGGGAGTTCAAGACCAGCCTGGCCAACATGGCAAAACCCTGTCTCTACTAAAAATACAAAAATTAGCCAGGCATGGTGGCACACACCTGTAGTTCCAGCTACTCAGGAGGCTGAGGCAGGAGAATTACTTGAACCCGGGAGGCAGAGGTTGCAGTGAGCTGAGATTGCACCACTGCACTCCAGCCTGGGTGACAGAGTGAGAGTCCATCTCAAAAAAAAAAAAAAAAAAGATGATGTCTGTAAAGCATCTAATATAGCACCTGGCACATAGATGCTCAATAAATGATGCTAGTATCCATAGTTACTGTTATAGTAAATGAGAATGATTAAAATTTGTATTATAGATGTCTAGTTTCCCAGTGATTATGAAGAGCTTGTCCTAGGCAAATATTTTGAGCCTGGAATAGCCTGGGAGAAATATTCAGTCACTGACTCATATATTCAAGCATTTAAACTCTATCTATATGCAAGGAAGCTTTATATAATAGAAAGAGCATAGACAGTTTTAATCTCCAGGGTTTTAATCTGAAGAGCTAACTTTTAATCTCCAGGGTTCCTCAGTGCTCTAGGATTCTAGAATGTGCCATGTTTCAGTGTAGAAGGGGAGAGAAGAATACCCCAGAGCAGGATCAACCTTGAGTGTCACCAAATCAGGGAAGATTGTTCCCTTGCTTAGGGAAAAAGCCAGAATTGGAGGCAAAAAGAATGGAAGAAAAGGGAGCACCAGAGAGCCCCACTTCACAGAGAGTCAAGGATAACTCAATCTCTAGGACAGAGCCCATAACATAGTCCCTCACCCCAAACCAGGGTAATGTTTGATGTATATTCTTCGAGCAGCCTGAAACCTACCAGAAGTTGGGATAAGGCCTTCAGCAGTAATTCTCAAACACAGTTACCTAGAGAGATTGTAAAATAAACAGATTACTAGGTTCTAGCTCTGGAGAATCTGATTCAGTAGGTTTGGGAATTTGCATACTTAACAAATGTTTCTGATGCAGGTGGAAAAAAGTCTGCAATGGAAACTGAAATCCAGTTCTTCCTCTGATTCCACATCCTTTTTTTTAATTTATTTTTTATTTTTATTTTTATTTTTTTGAGACAGGGTCTTGCTCTGTCACCCAGGCTGGAGTTTTGCAGTGGTACAATCACAGTTCCCTGCAGCCTTGCCTTTCAGGCTCAAGCAATCATGCCCGACTAATTTTTGTTTTTTGTTTTTTTTTATAGAGACAGGGTTTCGCCGTGTTGCTCAGGCTGGTCTCGAACTCCCAAAGTGCTGGATACTGGCATGAACCACCACGCCCAGCCCCAAATCCTATTATTTTTCTATCATATTAAAGAACCCTAGATGATGGATGGATGGATGAATTTACAACAAATATATGACAGTTTGCCTCACCTAAGTCCACAGGGCTATAAATAGGCAATAGATGCTGGGGCCCTCAATTTGTTTGTCTCTACCGTCTCATTACCACAGTTCCTGAGAAGGGGCTGAGCTTTAGAGTGCTGACTGGATAATTCTGGGACACTGATTAAAGCCAACTTAGCATGGTAGAAAGGGCAAGAGCTATGCAGTCAGAAGACATGAGCTTGGGTCTAAGTATTGGTACTCCCTCGTTGTGTGACCATGCGCAATTCTTGACTTTATTAAACTTTTATTTTCTCATTTGTATAAAGAAGATAAAAGTGTCCAACGTACAAGATTGTTAACTACTAAAGTATAATAAATGCTATCTTATTTCTCCAGCTAAGGACACATCCCCAGTCTCACTCCATTTCCCCTCATGATCAGAAATCCTTAAGGGGGATCTACTAACTCCTCACATTTATGTACACATTGCTTTTGGGTACATAGTCCCATTTGAGTCTTTTTTGTGGTAAGTGGGGGTGTGATTCCTAACTGACCACAGAAAGCTGAAGCAATCGGAACACAGAGAAGTGGGGTTACTTATCCAAAGTCACCCTGCCAGCAGTTGAGGAACGACAGAACGCCAAGGCATCTTGTGGTTCTAAGTCCAGTGATCTTTCAACTGCCCCTCTTACCCCTTCCTGATGAGGGTCATCTCACATTAAACCCTAAAATCACATTTGATAAGTCAGTAGTGGGGAGGAGGGATCACAGTTAAAATTAAATTAGTCCCTGATATTAAAACTAAAAGATTATAATGGGAAACATTTTAATTTTTAACTTGCGTATCTCTATCTTGCTGTTTAAGACTGGTCGGACTGAAGGCATTCCTTGGAACACTCTTTCCTTTTGAATTTATCTCTTCAGTCCACTTCAGGGACTCTTTACCCCTCTGGCCTTCAGAAGGCATTTGCATCCTGGTTTCTGATAGAGGAGGCTCTGTGAGGGAACAGAGTCTATTTATTCTAACTTGCTGTCGTCCCTAATGTACTGTCACACAAGCGACTTGCTGTGCAATGCTAGAAAGGAAATAATAAAATGCACGATTAAGAGTGTGGCTAATGCCTCCCAGACAGTCAGGTTCTCTGGAGGTCACATTTCCAGTGAATTCATTGCCCACGGACGGTTTCCCCACGGCCTTCAGAGGAGCTTAGCTGTGGGACTGCCTACCTTGCCCATTTCCACATTTCCATGAAGCTTTGAAAATTAGGTGGGAAATGGGGAAGGGGTAATAGAGAAAGTAGCTGGAGTCCGCTCTACCTGGAGCCCCTCCAAGGTGAGAATGAACCTACCCTGCCCTTTCTGTGAGAGCTGTCTCTCCTTGTCCTGTGGTCCAACCCTTGCTTTCAGGAGCCTGTCCAGCTCCGGTTTCTATGACTCAGAATGACCTGGAACAAATATATTCCATTGTGCTATGATTTTTCTGATTTTTAAAGTAAGTCCAAGTCTTCCTGGTTCTCTCCTTTTTGGAGACACTGAAAAATTAGGGTCTTTTTTTTTTTTTTTTTTTGAGATGGAGTTTCACTCTTGTCACCTAGACTGGAGTACAGTGGCGTGATCTCAGCTCACTGCAACCTCCGCCTCCTGGGTTCAAGCGATTCTCCTGCCTCAGTCTCCTGAGTAGCTGGGATTACAGGTGTGCACCACCATGCCCAGCCAATTTTTGTATTTTTAGTAGAGATGGGGTTTCACCATGTTGGCCAGGCTGGTCTCGAACTCCTGACCTCAAGTGATCTACCCACCTTGACCTCCCAAAGTGCTGGGATTACAGGACACACCCAGCTTTTCTGAGATTATTTTAACAAAGCCATTTGACTTGACAAGAATGTCACTTCCCTCCAACCACACAGTCTGAGAATCAAGGCAATATTAACCCCATATTGTCAACAGATGAAGGTGACAGAAATGCAGACATAACAGAGTACTCCAGAGAAACAAACAGTAGGCAATAGACAGATAGATAGACAGATAGATAGAAAGAAAGATAGATGATAGATAGACAGACAGACAGACAGACAGGCAGTTTTACTCTAAGGCATTAGCTCACATGATTATGGAGGCTGACAAGTCCGAAATGCTGTTGAACAGGATAATTCTCACTGTGGGAGGGCCATCTTTTTTTCTCAGGACTTCAACTGATTGAATGAAGCCCCCACACTGAGGAGGACAATCTGCTTTACTCCGTCTACAGATTCCAACATTAATCTCATCCAAAAACACGCTCACAGATAAACCAGAGTAACATTTGGCCATCATCTGGGTACCTTGGGGCCCAGTCAAGTTAACACATAAAAGTCACCCTCTCCGTGGAAAAAACCTAGGAAAAGAACCAATATGCACTTAATGTAATCATGTGCTTGGCATTATACATGGCTGTCTCCAATGGCACACAGCCGGATGTGGTAGGTGCCTAGTTTGGTTGACTCTACAGGCAGTGGTTTTTCCACGGTGCCTGCCTTGGATGATTCCAAATGCAGCCTTCTCCCAGGAAGCCTATGAGGTAAGACGATGTCCAATGGCAGCAGATACCCAGGGCACCATTTGAAACAGGAGTGTGTGACACAGACCTGCTGGAGACTGTAGTGCCAGCATCAGACCTCACTCAAGAAGTTGCATCCAAGTGCCTGCCTGGTTGTCCTGATTGCTTCCTCTTTTCAGGGAGCTTATATGCAGAATCCCACATCAAAGGCACACAAGGAAAAGGCAGATACTGGGTAATTTGTGAAGTGGAAAAGTCAGGTTTTAGCTCCTTTGCCCTCTCAAGCTGAGAAGGCTCACACTTCCTCTTGACCCACTTGTACCCTGTTGGCATGCCTGTCCTGTTCCTCAGGCCTTTAAGGTACCAGGTGTCACATGGTTTATCTAACGAACTCACCTGAGTTCCTGGAGCTCAGCAAGAGAACCAGGGAAGCAGCATTAAATGAGGTTTTCTAGAGCCAAGATCAGCACCTGGCATGCAACCTTCAAGTGATTCCTACCCTGAGAACTTCAAGCCAAGGGGCATGGGACCAGCCCATAGGGAGAAGAGACCATTTGGTATCCTTCAGATCACATTCTGGCAGCGCTGGGAACCACACTTCAGGCTCCTGTGACTCCAACCTGTTGGCTTTTGCCTTAAAGGAATTCCCTTACTATCACTTACCCTCAAACACAGGCTCCTCCGAGGCTTGAACAGAGAGGTGGAATCTTTACTCCCTCATGCAGCCAGTGACAGCTGTACAAGTGGCCCCCGGACAAGTGCCTCTAAGATTTCACTTCTTTGGAGCCTCCCACTTTATCTCATCCCCAACCCTTGCTACGACCACCATATCCAGATGTGAGGAGGTAAGAACTTAACCCTGTTTACAAGAAAGACAAAGAAGGTATTTTTCAGGCGCTCACCTGGCCCCACTCCTTGAATGCTGGTTATAAAGAACTCACCCTTGAGGCTGATGTTGAGCAGAGCCAAGGCCGGCCTAACTGTGGGATAGAAGCAGCTTGGATCTGGGGTAGGAAGAGTTCTAGCAGAGCAGCTGCTCAGCCCTGAGCTGGAGAAGTGTTCAGAAAGAAGAGGCGGGGAGCTTTAGAACAGTGGTCCAGTCTGCATGGACATCACAGGTATCCCTTGCATTAAGACAGAGATCAATTAGGAACTGTCTAATGCATCATAAAAGAAATCTTCACTTGATAAAAAGGAGAATGACCAGAACGTTCCCTGAATAACGGCCACCACCACTCTCTCCAAACCCCCACCCACTTAAAGCACATTCCAGCTTTGGGACAACCCTCAGGACAGCATTTTCACGACCACGCACCCATCCTGTTGGATCTCTCAGGAATCTGCGGACACCAAGAACGTTTTAGGATAAGCCAGGCTGGGTGGATCTCAAGAAATGGGCTCTGCTAAACAAACCCAGAAGGCACTTTCCATAAGTAACAGCAGAAATGCCACAATGCAAATTGTGACAAATCGGACCAGCTACTGTGAGACTGGGAGGAGTGTTTTATTCTTTCCTTTATGTATTTCATTTTTGAGCATCTCAGTCAGCCTAGGATGGAGCTGAGCTGACAGTGGGGTAGAAGAGATGGTGGGCAAACAACTCAGAGCCAAGGATAGAAAGTCGAGAGGAGGGAGCTGAAGGAGAAACAGCTAGGGGGAAACAAAAAAGCCAGGGACTGTGTGGGACTTGCTGCTCAGGAGCTGAACTTGCAGCTTTGACAAAGCTGACTTTAAGCCGACCTTCAGCGGCGCTTCTTAGCAATGTACACCGGGCAATCGCTGGTAAATCTTTATTAATTTTAATTGGCGGCACCCATTTATAAGAACCATTAAAAAGGATAAATTGAGCCCATCCGGCGTAATGTCTTTTGTTAATTAGTTTGTCAGCACTGTTTTAATATCCCCTAATGACTTCATATTTCAGACCTGACATTAAAGGAGACGCTGTGAGAAAGGAAATGGTCTTATCACAGTGTACTGTACCGTTTTTCTTTTTTGAACAAAAAGTGTCCTTCCAAATGCTGACCAAGGTTAGATGTCATTTAATTCTCAAAGGTAGGTGCTTGAGGACTTCTGAAGCCCCCAATTCTCTCTCCAAGTCCTGCCATCCCATCATTTCTCAATTTTCCTCTTAGTCTTAACCATCTCAGGCATCCCCAACACACTCCTTCATTTCTTCTTTCCTCCTTCATTTACTCTACAAACATCTATTGATCTATTGAACCCCTCAGAATCAGGGAGATGGGAGGGGAGGAAGTCAAGCAACATGCAGATATTTTCTAGAAAAAAAGACCTAAAAGCTTTACATTTTCTATTCCACTGAAGGGCTTTTATTTATGTATTTATTTTTTCATTTTTTCAAATTCAAAGCCAGCATATTTCTTTTGGCAGGGAACAAAATATGAAAAGGAAGAGAAAGAAAGACAAAGCGATAAGGTGGGCCTTAACTCCTGGTTCCAAACATTTTTGCTCTAATGACCAAAACTGACACCAAGGCAGTCTACCATGGTGGGAGCACAGGTCTTAGGGTGATGGGGAGAGAAACGGGGGGGGGGGAGGGGAGAGAGAGAGAGAGAAAGAGAGAAAATGCCCTGTGTTTGGATCTTAGGACCACCGCCATGGGCCTCAAAAAAGGGGGCACAAGATGATGCACTGGAATGCTGGAAGCCTTTTTTTTTCCCCAAGATGGAGTCTTGCTCTGTCACCCAGGCTGGAGTGCAGTGGTGCAATCTCAGCTCACTACAACCTCCGCCTCCCCAGTTCAAGCAATTCTCCTGCCTCAGCCTGGCTGGGATTACAGGCATGTGCCACCACGCCTGGCTAATTTTTTTATATTTTTAGTAGAGATGGGGCTTCCCCATGTTGGTCAGGATGGTCTCGAACTCCTGACCTTGTGATCTGCTCACTTCAGCCTCCCATAGTGCTGGGATTACAGGTGTGAGCCACTGCGCCCAGGCCCCTGGAAGCTTTTAGAACTATTCACCAGTTGTCAAATCTAAACAAAAAGAAGGAAATTAAGTTTGTCTCTCATTGTCCCAGGGCCTTGGTCTCTCATTGTCCCAGGGCCACCAAGACTTGGGGTAAGGAGCAAGGGAGGGGCCTTAAAGAGCGAGCTGCAGTGCCTGCGCTGGCATGTTGGCCAGTTGCAGTTATCTTTGGCTGGTTAAGTGAATTTACAGGCAGTATTATCTAGTTTTAACTGAATTGCCCTCACAAAGAGGACAATTAGAAATCGTAGCTCAAACTGCAAGTTGACATGAAAAATGACGGAGCTGAAACTTCTCCCACTCCAAGCTCTTTGTCAACCATCTGATGAGGTAAAAATAATGTTGATCTAATCACATCTGACAAGCAACTGCCACCCACTCCCCCCCAAAAAAAGAGTAAAAAATTATCAAGAAGACTATTTGAAATGTGGATTTACATCCACTATTATTCACAGTAAACTTTGCCCTGGGCATATTCTGTGTCTTGAGATATTAACTAACAATCACGGTACTAATTTATGCTTTATGGATAAATAGACGGAAAAGGAGGCACATGCATGCTCAAAAAAATTCTTATCGATAGAGGAATTCTGTGACTGTAAAAGTGTGTCTGGAGACATCCCAAGTGTGGGGCTCTTGATGTACGTAACTCCCTGGATCCTCAATTTTCTCTACTGTAAAATGGTAATAATTCCACCTACTTTGTAAGGTTGTTCTAACGACTAGAGACAAAGCATCTAAAGTGCCCATCACAGAGCCTGGTACTGGATGTAGCTGTCATCATCATCACAGCCATCGTCATCATCATTCTCATCATCATTACACCATCCTCATCACCATCATCATCACCACCACCACTGATATAGTTTGGAATATGTATCTGTGTCTCTTCCCAAATCTCATGTTGAATTGTAACCCCTCGTATTGCAGGTGGGGCCTGGTGGGAGGTGACTGGACTTTGGAGGTGAATTTCTCATGAATGGTTTAGCGCCATTCCTCTGGTGCTGTCTGCCAGGTAGTGAGTGAGTTCTCCTGAGATCTGGCTGTTTAAAAGTGTGTGGTGTCTCATTCTCTCACTCTCTTGCTCTGTCTCTCACTCCTGCTTTCACCATGTGACTTCCACCATATTTGAAAGCTTCCGGAGGCCCCCCCAGAAGTGGATGCCAGCACTATGCTTCCTGTATAGCCTGCAGAACCGTGAGCCAATTAAACCTCTTTTCTTATAAATAATCCAGTCTCAGGGATTTCTTTATAGCAATGCAAGGACAGCCTTCACCATCATCACCACCATCATCACCATTAACATCTTTATTACCACACCCACAAGCAATCTTCTGTGATCCCTTTCAACAGTGTACAGCAATCAGTGAATCACTGAAGTTGTTTTTTAATTACAAGTCCCCTTAAGAAAATCTGTAAGAGCTTCTTGCATGGCACAGAGCTCTCTTGGATGCACTTTCTCCTTTTTCATCCCTCCTACACTTCATGCATGCTGTAGAGCAAGGCCTCACCAACTCCAACAGACAGATGATGCATTTGAATGAAGCGAGTCACAGGGACCGGGAAGAGCTTCAGAATGACAGCCTGTTTAAAGGGCCAGCCTGAGAAACAGAGGGAGACCATGTCTCAAAAAACTAAAATAAAAATAAAAAATGAAAAACAAACCAAAAAAATTAAGAGTGGCTGCTTCCCAGCACCATGCAATAGTTGCCATATAGGAAGATGGGCACAGTGAGGCCATAGCATCCTATCTCCGAGAAAATCCAGAAATGGGCCAGGCGCGGTGGCTCACGCCTGTAATCACAGCACTTTGGGAGGCCGAGGTTGGGGGGATCACCTGAGGTCAGGAGTTCAAGACCAGCCTGGCCAACATGGTGAAACCCCATCACCACTAAAAATACAAAAAAAAAAGAAAAAAAAAAAAAGAAAAAGAAAATAACCAGGCATAGTGGCGGGCGCCTGTAATCCCAATTACTTAGGAGGCTCAGGCAGGAGAATGGCTTAAAGCCAGGAGGCGGAGGTTGCAGTGAGCCAAGATTGCACCATTGCACTCTAGCCTGGGCGACTAAAGTGAGACTATGTCCCAAAAAAAGAAAGAAAGAAAAAGAAAAACCAGAAATGGAGATACTTTTCAGTGAAATCTTTCTTTTTTTTTTTTTCTGCATCAATCTGTTACAGTGCCTAAAATAGCACTTTGGAGTTGTGTTTCTTGAGTTTTACAAGCTTTTCCGCCTTAGGGGGTCCCCTGTTGAAAAGAAAATGTCCATGAGGGAGGAGTACATTAGGTCTCAACTGACATCTAAAAAGAAATTTACATGTCAGTCTTTTGAGAGTGAGATACAAGACAAGAAAGGTGGGGGTGGGGAGCAGGGCTAGAGTAGGGGGCAGGAAGGGACCAAAAGACAAACTGAGGGGAATTCCAAGGGTCTGTTTAACATTACCTACACCCCCGCTTTGCTAAGACTGGCTTTTACTCTGGAAAACGGGATTATTTGCTTTTGAATATCTACACCTTCTCCTTTTCCTCTGTACACTCTCCCCACTCATCCCCTCCAATCTCCTTTCCTCAGCCTTTGTATGCATGCATGCAGGTGTATACACACACACGTGCACACACACACACACGTGCACACACACACACACACCAGAAAACTCTGAATTTAAGAAAATATTATGATAAAAACAAGAGTTGAGGCCATGCATGGTGGCTCACACCTGTAATCCCAGCACTTTGGGAGGCCAAGGTGGGTGGATCACTTGAGGTCAGGAGTTAGAGACCAGCCTGACCAACATGGTGAAACCCCATCTCTACTAAAAATATAAAATTAGCTGGGTGTGGTGGTGGAGGCCTGTAATCCTAATGTTAGAGGTGTTCGAACCACAGCGACTCCATCTTGAGTGAGGGCTAGGAAAATGAGACTGGGACTTGCTGGGCCGCATTCCCAGAAAGTTAGGTATTCCTAAACTCTAGATGCTTACAGTTAAAGGAACAAATTGATCATGTTTACTAAACAGACTCAGACTTGAGAGTATCCTAATATCCTGATACCTTGGGAACAAAGACATTCCTAATTTTGCTTTAAAGATAATATGATAATATCGATTCTTGCAAAATATTGTCATTAAGAAAATTAATCCTCTATCACAAACCCTTGTAGCAGAGCACATCTCCCCAGGATCTTTTTTATCCTATATATACAAGCATTGTACCTAGGGTGGACGTGTTCCTCCTCTTACTTTCGGGAATGCCCTACTCTAGCTGTTCTTTTCTCAGAGGTGTGTGAACCAGAGCAACTCCATCTTGAATAGGAGCTGGGTAAAATAAGGCTGAAACCTATTGGGCTGCATTCCCAGATGGGTAAGGCATTCTAAGTCACAGGATGAGATAGGAGGTCAACACAAAATAGAGGTCCATACAGACCTTGCTGATAATACAGTTTGCAGTAAAGGAGCCGGCCAAAACCCACCAAACCAAAATGGCCACGAGAGTGACCTCTGTATGTCCTCACTGCTACACTCCCATCAGCACCATGACAGTTTACAAACGCCATGGCAACATCAGGAAGTTACCTTGTATTGTCTAAAAAGCGGAGGCATGAACAATCCACCCCTTGTTTAGCATATCACCAAGAAATAATCATAAAAATGGGCAACCAGCAGCCCTCGGGGCTGCTCTGTCTATGGAGTAGCCATTCTTTTATTCCTTTACTTTCTTAATAAACTTGCTTTCACTTTGCACTGCAGACTCACCCTGAATTCTTTCTTGTGCGAGATCCAAGAACCCTTTCTTGGGATGTAGATTGGGACTCCTTTCCTGTAACACTTTCACCATTTTACTTTCTTAATAAACTCACTTTTGCTTTGCACTGTGGACTCGCCCTGAATTCTTTCTTGTGCGTGATTGAAGAACCCTCTCTTGTGGTCTGGATTGAGACCCCTTTCCTGTAATATCAGCTATTCCGGAGGCTGAGGCACGACAATCTCCTGAACCTGGGAGGCAGAGGCTGCAGTAAGCTGAAACCGCACCACTGCACTCCATCTTGGGTAACAGAGGGAAACTCCATCTCAAAAAAAAAAAACAAAAACCAAGATTTGGAAAATTACTAGACTGTAATATAAGACAAATCTGAAAAGAAAATAAGCTGTGTATATGCATGTGCATGAGGATATGTATGGTTTACTACTTTTCAGCAACAATTAATCCCCTCATCACCCTAAAAGAAATCTTTATTAGCACATACTATTAACCAGACCATGTGCTAAGTGCCAAGGATACTAAGATAGATAAGAAAATTGTTAGACATGAGTTCTAAATTTCTCTTCAAAGAATCAATGTCAGTATGTTCAATTCTTTGCCTTCTACTTTTAAACTTAACTTCCTCGTAAAGCAACCTTTTCAATCACCTGCTCCACCCTGACTCATTCTGATTACCTGCTCATTCTCCACCCTGACTCATTCCGATTTCCTGCTCTGCCATAATCATTTTTCCTGCCAAACCACTCACCCCGTCACTCTCTTTAAATTAGCCAATCGAAATTAGTTTAGCCTATGCGGTCTAACCCTAACCAACAGGGGAATGACACAGCAGCAGGGGCCACGTGTGTCAGGAATAAGACCCCCCTTCCCCTCCCTTGTTCGGGTGTGCACTCACCACTGCTCCATCTGTGAGGGCACACCCTTCTATAGAAGTAATTTGCCTTGCTGAGAAGAAAAAAAGAAAATTTTATATTCAAGTGCTATTTCTTTTGCAGCACCAAAACTTTATTTATAACAAAAGCAATTCTTGTCTTCAAGGATCTCGCCATTTAGGTGGGAACACCAACAAATATACAGTGATGGATAATTTGCTACAAGTTTTAAAAGAGGTGAATCTGTGGGAACATAAATAAAAGGCGTACCCACCTGTTCCTATGGAAAGTCAGTTTTGTGAAAGCTTCATAGGGGAAATGTCCCATAGACTAAATATTTCTTAAAACTTTTAAATTATGCAATGTATCATACAGAAAATAATATAAATGATGTATACGTACCATTTAAAAATAGTAAACACCTGTGAACCCACCACCCAGCCTAAGAAATAGAACAGCTTCCACATCTTTGAAGTACCTCTCTGACCTCAAATGTTTTGTTTTTCATTCGTTTTTACTTTTAATTTTCTTCCTGTATATGTGTCACTAAGCTATTAATACATACTTTTTTGGTTTGTCTGGTTTTGAATTTTATGTAAATGGGACAATACAGTATTATTATTCTAAGACATGATTTTTTTACTTGACCATATGTTTTTGAGAATGATCTCTGTTCATATACACAGTTACAGTTTATTAGTTTTTAGTGGTATGTAGTTTTCTGTTGTATGAACATATCCTAACGTATAGAGCTATTTTACCATTGATAACTATTCCATTCTTTTCCATTTTTGTTATTATAAACTAAGACACAATGAAAATTCTTCTATAAGACTCCTGGTAAATATGTCTCCTGCAAGAGGAACTCTTGGATTGTTGCTGAATGCAATTGGCTTGAATATTGATTTTGTGTCCATTAACTGTGCTAAATACTCTTATTAATTCTAAATTTGTATCTGTAAAAAGTTTGGTATTTTTTATAGACATCTGTATCATTTGAAAATGGTGGTAACTTTTTTTCAAATTTTATATACATGTTTTTCTTATCTTACCACAATTATTAAGACTTCTAATATGATATTGTATGTAAGTGATGGTAACTAACATTTACATCTAATTCCTGACCTTAAACAGAATGCTTTCAACATTTTACCACTAAGTATGCTTTGTACTTTTCTGAAAATATATAATTAATTTCCCTCTGTTAGGTTAAAGATGATTCCTTCTATCCATCATTTGCTAAAAGTTTTTTATCATGATCTAATTTTTAATATTGCCAACAGTTCTTCACTTAAAAAAATTGTATGTTTATTCCACCTTTAATCTGTTACTATAATGCATTACCTTATTCAGTGGTCTAACATTAAACCAACTTTGCATTCTTACGATAAGCCTAACTGGTCATTATCTGTGTTAATGCATATAGCTAGAATTAGTTTGTATTAAAGTATAGTATTTCAAATTGTCTCAAAGCCTTTTAGTCCTAGCCAGCAGTGCTTTTGCCAATGCAGTTCTCATAAAGACTTTGTGGGTTTCCAGTTTATCTGATTCTGGTCAGCTTCACGCCATAGAGCCACATTTAAAATTCTTTCCTAGATAGCCTCTTGCTAATTTTGGCAAACTAAATCCCTTTTATCTAGTAGAGAGGATCTACTAGGAGCCACCATAAATCTTATCAAGGTCTTATCTAAGGATCCCACAGTTACGCTCTTAATTCTTTACCCTGAGGCCATTACTTACTTTGAAAATAATTTACTGGCTTGAAACACCAGAATTAAGAAGTAGTTTTGGTTTTCAACCCATTACTTTATGACTTCTCTATAGCTACTCTTGTCGCAAACTGAACAATTCTTTCTATAGCTGATCTCTCTCTTCCCATACCTTATCACAGGCAGCTAAAACATTCTAAAACACTTTCAACATTCTTCCGGGAATCACCTTGCCAATGTCCAAGTTTATTAGATTTATTTTCTATTATACAGTTACCATGGGCAACAACAGCTTTGTCAAATGTTACTACTATTCAACACAGATCCTCAATTTCCCAGCCTTCTAGAGCAGTTTCCTCATTACATTCCAGCCTCCACAACTGTTTATTTGCAAATTTTCCAAGCTTTGGAAATAGTTCCCTTGCTGCTTTTCTATCCTCTGTCACTCAGTCCTAAAGACAATGGCTCATGTTTCAGGTTTTTAGTTCAGCAGCACCCCACTTATAGGTGTCAATTTCTCCATCAATCAGCTCATGTTGTATAACAAACCACCTCAAAATTTAGTGGCTTAAAACAACAATCATTTGTTCAGCTCAGAATTTTGTGGATCCATAATCTGGGCTGTATTTAGCCAATAGGTTCATCTGCTGGTGTGGGCTGGGCTCACTCATGCTTCTACAGCCAGCTGCTGGTCAGCTGGATGGCTTGTTTCCAATGCTTACCTGGCTGGCCCTTTGGGCATAGAGACAATTGAGCCCTACATCTATCATTGAAAGACAAGCCAACACAGGCTTCTTCACATGGCAGCCATGGCAAGGGTCTCTAGAACAATAAGAGAGAAAGACTGAATGCACAGGTGCCGTTCACATTTCTGCTTATGTCTTATTTGCTAATGTCCTACTGACAATAAGGATTACAACATGCTTTCTTGATTCATCCCTTTTCTCTCTGTCCATTTATTTTCCTTTTTTCAGCTTTAGAGGTATGATTGACAAAAATTGTATATATTTAAGTAAAATGTTAGTATTAATTATAGTCACTATGCTATATGTTAGGTATCTAGAACTAATTCATCTTATAACTGCAAATTTGCATCTTTTGACCAGCATTTCCCATTTCCCCCACCTCTTTCCTGGAAACCATCATTGTACTCTGTGTCTCTGAGTTCTACTTTTTTATGTATAAGTGAAATCATGCAACGTTTGTCTTCCTGTGCCTAGCTTATTTCATCTAAATGTGATATATTTCATTTAAAATGTGATATATATATGTATATATGTACATGTATATACATATATATATCACATTTTAAAAATCCATTCATCCCTTGATGGATACTTGGTTTGTTTCCATATCTTGGCTATTATAAATAATGCTGCAGTGAACATAGGAGTGCAAATATTTCTTTGATATAGTGATTTTATTTTCCATGAATATATATCCAGAGGTAGAAATACTAGATCATATGATAATTATATTGTTAACTTTTTGAGGAACCTCTGTACTGTTTTCCATATGACTGTACCAATTTACATTCTCACAAGAATGGAGAAGGGTTCCCTTTCCTCCACATCCTCACCAACATTTGTTATCCTTTGACTTTTTAATAGTAGCCATCCTAACAAGTTTGAGGCAGTATCTCCTTGTGGTTTTGATTTGTATTTCCCTGATAATTAGAGACACTGACCACCTTTTTTATGTATCTGTTAGCCATCTGTATGTCATTTTCAGAAAAATATCAAATTGCCCATTTTTTTTAATTTTTCCTTTTTTTTTTTTTTTTTTGAGACAGGGTCTCACTCTGTCACCCAGGCTGAAGTGCAGTGATCCTTCCACCTAAGCCTCCCAAGTAGCTGGGACCACAGGTGTGCACCACTATGCCCAGCTAATTTTTGTGTTTTTGTGGAAACGGGTTTTCACCATGTTTCCCAGGCTGGTCTTTGCCCATTTTAAAATGCAGTTATTTGAGGGTTTTTTCTACTGAGTTGAATAAGTTCTTTATATGTTTTGGATATTAATCCCTTTGCAAATATTTTCTCCCATTATGTGAGCTGTCATGTCACTTCGCTGACTGGTTCTTTTGCTGTGTAGAAACTTTTAGTTCAATGTAGTCCCATTTGTTTATTTTTGTTTTTATTGCCTGCTTTTGGTATCTTATCCAAAAATCATTGCCAAGACCACTGGAGATTTTCTCCTATGTTTTCTTTTAAGGATCTTATATTTTTAGGTCTTAAGTCTATACCTTTAATCTATTTATAGTTGATTTTTGGTGTATGGTGTGAGATAAGGATCTGATTCCATTGTTTTTGGTTTGTTTGGTTTGATTTCTCAAGTGGATATCCAGTTTCCCCAAAGCCATGTATTGAAGAGACTATCCTCTCTCCATTATATATTCTTGCTACCTTTGTCAAAGATTAGTTGATCACATATGCATGTGTTTATTCCTGAACTTTCTATCCTGTTCCATTGATCTATGTGTCTGTTTTTATGCCAGTGCCAAACTGTTTGATTGCTATAGCTTTGCAATATGATTTGAAATCAGAAAGTGTGAAGCCTCCAGCTTTGTTTCTGCTCAAGATTACTTTGGCTATTTGGTGTCTTCTGTGGTTTCATACCAATTTTAAGATTATTTTTTCTATTTCTGTAAAAAAAATGCCATTGGAATTTTGATGAGATTGCATTGAATCTGTACATCACCTCAGTAGTATGAACATTTTGACAATATTGATTCTCCTATGAATTTGTCTGTTATTATTAACTGTTATATTTGTCTCTTCTTGGATAAATGCAAGAACCTCAGAACCTTTTAAATCCATTCCCCCTCCTGATTTATAGGCCATTGTTGTAATATATTTTAATTCCATGTATATTTCAAAATGAGTTAAGTTCTATTATTATGATGTCAATATTTATTTAGATTTACCCACTAGTTATCATTTTCATTGTTCTTTATTCCTTCTGACATCTCAGCTTCTTCTGAAAAAATACCTTTTGCTTTGTTTCAGGTTTTGTGGTAACACATTCTCTGAAGTTTATTTGTTTGTTCTTTAAGTTTTACTGAGCTATAGTTGACTTATAATAAACTGCTAATATGTGGGGGGAGGGGGGAAGGATAGCATTAGGAGTTATACCTAATGCGAAATGATGAGTTAATGGGTGCAGCACACCAACATGGCACATGTACACATATGTAACAAACCTGCATGTTGTGCACATGTACCCTAGAACTTAAAGTGTAATAATAAAATTTAAAAAAAACACATAAAGAGAAAAAAATGAATACTGTTTCACAAATTAAAAAAAAAAATTATAACCTTAACTTGATTTTACCCTAATGCCATACTATATATTCGTATATATAGCACAAGCTAACTGCACCTAAAATATAGGAAGAGTAATATCTAAACTGTTACATGACAAATAAATTTCATTTGTTTACCTAGGTTCCTGTTTGAGAATAATCTATTTTTGCAGAACTGTTGAGGAAGACCAGGCACACTTATATAAAATAGAAAGATTCTTCATTTGGGAGAAAATATGTTTTATCTTTTACTTCTTCAATAAAATTTGTAAAAGACCAGATATTAAATTACTATCTTTCATAAAAAGACAAAAAAAATAAACTGCTAATATGTAAAGAGTTTGATATGTTTTGACACATGTACACATCTGAGAACCTATCACTGCAATCAAGATAATCAACATAGTCATCACCTCCAAAGCTTCCTCATACCCCTTTGTGATCTTTTTCTCCTTTTATTGCTGAGTAGTAGTCTATCATAAATATGCCCCAGGTTTTTTTATCCACTCACACTTGTTTGTGGCCATTTGAATTTTTTCCAATTTTAAGCTATTATAAACAAAGCAGCAGTGAACATTTATGTGCAAATTTTTGAATGCACATAGGCTTTCATTTCCCTTGAATAAATATCTAGGAGGGAAATGGGGCTGGATTATATTCTATGTGTATGTGTAAAGTTTTAGAAACTGCACAGCTGCTTTCCAAAGTGGTTGTACCATTTTACATTCCTTACAAGGTCTGAGAGTTCCAGTTGCTCCACATTCTTATCAATACTTTCTAATTTTAGCCACTCTTAAGAGGTGTGGTGTCTCATTGACATTTTAATTCACATTTCCTGAATAACTAATGACGTTGACAATCTCTTCATGTGTTTGTCATCTGTATATCTTTGGTGAAATATATGCCCAATTTTCTACCCATATTTTTATTGTTTGTTTTGTTACCACTGAGTTGATTTTTTGTTTTGTTTTGCATTTTTCAGAGATAGGGTCTTGTTATGTTGCTCAGCCTGGACTGGAACTCCCAGGCTCAAGTGATCCTCCCACCTCAGCCTCCCACATAGCTGGGGATTGCCCATGCACACCACCATGCCTGACTTGTTATTACTGAGTTTTAAGGGTTCATTAAGTAATCTAGCTACAGGCTTTTATCAGATACGTGATTTGCAAATGTTTTCTCCCAGTCTGGCTTTATTTTTCATTTCCTTAACAGTATATTTTGAAAAGCAGAAATTTTTTTGATAAAGTTTAGTTTATCAATATATTGTTTTGGGTCATATTTTCTTGCTTCTTTGCATGCTTAGTAAATTTTGCTTGGATGCCAGACATTTTCAGTAAATAATGCCACTTTATACTAAGCTTTAAATCAAGTCATAAGTCCTCCAACATTATTCTTCTGTTTCAAAATTATCTGAGCTGTTCTAGCTATGTTACACTTCCATATGGAGTTTAGAATCAGCTGATTGTCTCCAGGTTTGGCTATAAAAATAAAGGAACCATGAACAATCATATACAGGTTTTTTGTGGACATCTTACAGTAGGTAGCTAGTCAGACATAAACAAGGCAGGAAAGGGTTCCCCCATCACACACACACCAGGAATGTCAGGCATCCATCAGGTGATGATTAGGCAGTTGCCAGCTGTCTCTCTAAAATAATATTTGGTCACAGCTTGCCCCAGGGAAAGGCAGTGTCCGAATAGATAGAAAAAACCTGAAACTGGTGATCAGCAGCTTCCTGATAAGATCTCCAGAATTGGGCGAGTGGGCTCAAGCATGTGCACTAAGAGGCAAAATGACAGAGTTTAACTCTAGGAATGCTAGACTGATAAGGGAAGAACACCTCAAGTGAGCATGCGTACAACTCCAGCAAACATACTGCGCATGCGCCCCCTCCCAAGTGCTACCAGGCCACTACACATGCTTACAGCTCACTGCAGGGGAAAAATCAGGAAAAAAGCCAGGCAAGACCCTGAACGTATGCCAAGGTATACAACTCCAAGTCAAAGGTCAAACAGTGCACTGGATCTCTCTATTTGCCTGCTTGGCCCTCTTCCAAGTGTACTTTACTTCGTCTCATTCCTGCTCTAAAGCTGTTCAGTAAATTTTCACTTCTGCTCTAAAACTTGCCTCAGTCTCTCCCTCCTTATGCCTCTCCATTGAATTCTTTCTTCTGAGGAGGCAAGAATTGAGGTTACTGCAGACTTGTATGGATTTGTGGTTGGTAACATACTTTGGTGCCACATGACTCAGATACATTCTGCTGCTAACAGACCTAAGTTTTTGTTTCTCTGGGATAAATGCCCAGGAGTGCTATTTGTGGGTCATATGGTAAGTATATGTTTGCTTTTTTAAAAAACTGATCAAGTATTTTCGAGAGTGGCTATACAATTTCACATTCCCACCAGCCATATATAGAAGATCCAGTTTCTCTGCATCCTCACCAGGATTTGATATTGTCACTTATTTGCATTTGAGCTGTTCCGATAGATGTGTAGTAATTTCTCATTGTGGCCTTAATTTGCATTTCCCTGAGGCCAGTGCTATTGAACATCTTTTCATGTGCTTATTTTCCATCTGCATATCTTTTTCAGTGAAATGTCTCTTCATGTCTTTTGCTCATTTTCTGATTAAATTGATGACTTTTTTACTGTTACAGTTTGAGGGTTTTAAAATACATACTAGAGATACTAGTCCTATATGTAGTTTGCAAATATTTTCTCTCAATCTGTGGCCTGCTTTTTATTATTATTATTTTTAACAGGGTCTTTTGCAGAGCAAATTTTTTTTATTTTGAAGGAGTCCAATTTATTAACCATTTCTTACATGAATCATGCTCTTAGCGTCATATCTAAGAATTCGTGACCAAGCAAGTAGAATATCAAACTAGAATATATTCCTTTCTTAAATCAGACCAACAAAACTGTTGTGTCGATTCAAGTTTGAGTGAGTGAAGTCACGAGAACCAAAAATCCCAGAATTAACTGTCACCGTCATATATTGTTTGTTTTCCATGAACCCATGCATTGCTGTAAGCAATGTAATACTTCAGAAATGATCTCTCCCTTTTTTATAATGTAAGCTTTTTTGCTAGAAAAAAAAAATGATACACTGCTGAAAACTTAGGGAGACAAAACCAGAAAACCAAAGCAAAAACTGAAACAATGTATGAACTGAGTACATAATAGGCTCAGAAAAAGTCATCAAAGATATTGCAAAAAAAAAGAGAATAAAGCAAAGTGTTGTTTCTTTATTAGATGGGGCCACAGAGGAAGGAGTAGCAGACAGAAAAAAGCTGCAAAATAGCATTTTGATCTGGTTTGATCTTGATCAACATCAAAAAAAATGATTAGGTGCAGAAAAGTTTAGTTACCACATAGACTTGGAAAAAGGAAGGACAAAGTTGCAGATGGCCTGAAACTAAGTAAGTAGCAAAGAAAATTCATTTCAATGGGCTGAGGCCCTGCAAACAGACGATCTTAGGGAATCTCAGTCAAGTCATTGCCTGTAATTGAAAACTTGACAACTGTGTATGGAATATTATTACAGTCACAGGGATGGCAATTTCAGATACATTCCACATTGTCCTCAGAATGATGCTTTCCAGTAAAAATTCTTGTCCCTAATCGATAGATAATGAAACTGGGGCCAAAAATCACATCATAAGAGTGGCACAACTGGAGCTGAAATGCTGGATCTTAGTGCATTTTTCCGGGAACACATCTGTGTCTTCCCAGATGGGGAGGTGGAGTGAGAAAGAGAGACAAAAACACCTTTCAGGATAGCAGGGACCGGAGGTCTGCTGACAGACACAGAGACACCTGACCCAAGAAGACAAAGAAGAAAGTGCACTGGGCCACGAATCAGAATTAGATCCTGCCCCAACTGCAGCTTACTAGCTGTGTCACCTTGGGGATAGCTACTCTCCTGCCCTGGGCTTCTTTCTGGGGGCAAGGGGTGGGAAAAGAAATAAAAGTCTTTATTGATAAATAGCTTACAATTATACAAACAGAGCAGTGGGTTTGTTGGGGAATAAAAACTAGGGCAGAGGCTCAATCTCTCTCCATTTCCACCCCGGCGCTAGGCCTCAGCCCTCTGATTGAACACTTTGGATGATGAGGCCTTGATGGACAACCCAGGCTTTCTCAGGCCCTTGGAGGCCTCTGTCTTCCCGGTCAGGTGTGCAGGCACCACCTTGGACCCACTGCCCCTAGCAGGAGAAGCTGCCTTGGTGTTTGGCTCCTGCCCAGCACCCTGGGCAGCTGCCCTTTTAGGGGCCTTGGCCTTGGCCACCACCTTCTTTTTGGTGGGGGAAGCAGCACCGTTCTTGACCTTGCTAGCCGTGGGTTTTGAACTCTTACTCCCAGCTTTGATATTCCTGTGAGCCTCAGCGTCTCCTTAGCTGCTCCTGCTGCCTTTGGCCTTTGGCTTCTTGCTGAGCCCACTGGCACAGGAAGAGGCCTACATGGCTTTGCCTTTGTGTCCTCAGCCTCACTGCCCTGCTGGGGGGGGTGGGGGCTTCTCCTTGGCTGCATCTAATTTGGGAGACGTCGGCAGCTCTGCTGGCCTCTTGGCTGCTTTTTTCACCTTGCCCGAGTTGGGAGGGTCCTTCTTTGCCTCACCTGGTTTGTTGGGGCCCTTTCCCCTGGCCTCATTAGCTATCCTGGGGGCTGTCCGGGGGAGCCATCTTCCTAGACTGAATTTTCATCTTGTACTTGGGAATGAATTTGAAGCTGCCAGCAGCCCCCCAGCCTTGGAGTTGAGGGGCCTGGCGAGGAGGTTGAGGTACACGCTGGTGGCCAGGACCTGCTTCAGTATGTACTTGAAGTGGAGGATGTCCCCAGGAGAACCAGTCCTTCCAGCCGTTCCAGAGTGTCTTGTGTCCCAGCCTGCTAGGCTGGAGTAGAGGAGGTCAGAAGAGGAGGCAGCTTGGCCTGTTCTGGGGATTCAGAAGCTAGCCACCCTCCCCAGTCCAGACCCTGGGCCCGATTCAGCGTAGCAGGTGCTGGAGGATAGATAGCGTGCTAACCGCTGATGGGGACAGAGAAGCTGAAAGAGCACTTGGCCATGAATTGGAACTAGATTCTGCCCCAGCTCTGCAGCTTACTAGCTGTGCAGCCTTAGGGAAAGTTACTCTCCTGCCTTGGGCCTCGGTTTCCTAGTAAAATGAGGGGATTGGACCAGATGACCTTTGCTATTACTTCACATTCTAACAATCTATGATCCTGGCTATTATTTGAAAACTCAGAGGGATTCTAGCAAAGCTTATGGAAGACTACAGTGTTCTTTTTTTTTTTTTTTTTTTTTTTTTTTTTGAGACAGAGTCTTTCTCTGTCGCCCAGGCTAGAGTGCAGTGGCAGCGATCTCGGCTCACTGCAACCTTTGCCTCCCAGGTTCAAGCAATCTTCTTGCCTCAGCCTCCCGAGTAGCTGGGATTACAGGCATGCACCATCACACCCGGCTAATTTTTGTGTTTTTAGTAGAGACGTCATGTTGGTCAGGCTGGTCTTAAACTCCTGACCTCAGGTGATCCACCCGCCTTGGCCTCCCAAAGTGCTAGGATTACAGGTGTGAGCCACCGTGCCCAGCCCAGTGTTCTGTTTATAGAGCAAATACAGATTTTTCACTATTTCTGCTGCTTTGCCCAACATCCCTTTCATCTGCTCTTTTGGGGGTGATGTCCTTCTCAGAGTCCATGGGATTCTGTTGAGGCTGCCAATCAGAGTGCTGGGCCCTAGCCCTGGACACACTCATTGGCCTAAGAGTTGATTACTAGACCCAAGAAGACCAATCAGAATCTTTCCCTGAATGCGTATGTGTGGATACAAGGAAAAAAAAGAGAACTCACTTCTCGGGTTGCAGAACCAATACAAACCTGGAGATGTGTGCTCCCTACCCTCCTCCCTACCATCCCGTCCCTCCCGGTGTAGACACCTCTTCATCCTTCCCCCTCATCATGGTGGCTCATCTAGGGCAGGAGAGAGAAGCGGAGGCAGGAACCGGCAGGAAGGAGGGAGGTCGGGCAGTGGCCTTACTACAGGAACATGTCAGATGTCAGATTCCCTGTATTTGGAGGGGGTGTTTATTTCCTGTGGCTGTCTTCACAAATTACCACAGCTTGGTGGCTTAAAACAGCAGTCATCTGACCAGGTGCGGTGGCTCACACCTGTAATCCCAGCACCTTGGGAGGCCGAGGCGGATGGATCACCCGAGGTCAGGAGTTCGAGACCAGCCTGGCCAACATGGTGAAACCCCGTCTCTACTAAAAATACAAAACTTACCCGGGCATGGTGGCACATGCCTGTAATCCCAGCTACTCGGGGGGCCAAGGCAGGAGAATCACTTGAACCTGGGAGGTGGAGATTGCAGTGAGCTGAGATGGTGCCATTGCACTCCAGCCTGCAGGACAAGAGCGAGACTTCGTCTCAAAAAAAACAAAACAAAACAAAAAAAACACACAGCAGTCATCTCTTCTCTCACAGCCCTGGAGGCCAGGAGTCTGAAATCCTTATCACTGGGCCAAATTCAAGGTGTGACAGGGCGGAGCATTCTCCAGAGGCTGGAAGGGAGAATCCGTCCTTCGCCTCTTCTAGCTTCTGGGGTTGGCTGCATCCTCAGCTTACGGCCACATCGCTCCAATCTCTTCCTCTGTGCTCACATTGCCGCCTCCTCCTCTGTCTATGTCAAATCTCCCTCTGCCTCCCTCTTTGAAGAACACTTTGATGGCATTTAGGGCCCACCCAAATAATCCAGGATAATCTTCCCGTCACAAGAATCTTAATTTAATCACATCTGTAAGACCCTGTTTCTTTTTGTGTGTGTGTGATGGAGTTTTGTTCTTGCTGCCCAGCTGGCAACGCCATCTCGGCTCACTGCAACCTCCGCCTTCCAGGTTCAAGCGATTCCCCTGCCTCAGCCTCCTGAGTAGCTGGGATTACAGGCACCCACCACGACGCCCGGCTAATTTTTGGTATTTTTAGTAGAGATGGGGTTTTACCATGTTGGCCAAGCTGATCTCGAACTCCTGACCTCAGGTGATCCACCCGCCTCGGCCTCCCAAAGTGCTGGGATTACAGGCGTGAGCCACCGTGCCCGGCCCTATTTTTGATTTTTTTGCTGTCATAGACAATCCCATGATGAACATCCTCGCTTGAGTGGCTAATTGTTTCCTTAGGAAAGATTCTGACACTTGGAGTTACTAGGCTGATGTGGAGACCCTTTAAAAAGCTCTAGATAAGGCTGGCTGTGGTGGCAAAATACTATAATCCCAGCTCCTCAGGAGTCCCAGGCAAAAGGATCACTTGAGGCCGGGAGTTTGAGATCAGCCTGGGCCTTGTCCCCATACAAAAATTAGCCAGGCATGGTGGTACCTACCTGTAGTCCTGGCTACCTGGGAGGCTGAGGCAAGAGGATCTCTTGAGCCCAGGTGTTTGAGTTTACATGATTGCGCCACTGCACTCCACCAGCTGGGGTGACAGAGACCCTGTCTCTAAAATAAATAAAATTAAGAGCTCTAGATAGATAAAAATTGCCAGGTGTCTTTCCAGAAAGATAATACCAGTTCACATTCTGACAAAATTGTCCGAGTACTTTTGTCACTGTACATACTACATTTTATTTATAAACATTTGTCAATTTGATTGATAAAAATTATGTCTTATTTTAATATGTATTTCTCTGATTACTAGAGAGGGTGAATCTTTTTTGTAGCTGAATGGCATTTTTATTTCTTCTATAAATTACAGTCCACTGCTGTTTTTCCCCATTCAATTTTAGTGCTGCCCTCATGGATTGATAACCATTTTGTCATATTTGTACAGACAGCTTTTTCTTGTTTGCCATTTGTCTTTTAATTCTGTTTATGAGGATTTAGAGTTTTTCAAAAGGAAAATATCCCTGCAAACTGATGAGTCCTGAATGTTATTTTTTTTTACCTGGATGAGTTTCTGCTTTGCTTCCAGGAATTGCTTCTGTGCCTGAGGCAGGGGGCTGGCAGGGGTTGGAGGGCCAGGGTCAGGGCTCAGCTCTCCTGGTGCAGGGGCAGGCCCATACTCCTGGGATCCCAATTCAGCCTCACAAACCCGAAGCTAAAGAACTGCAAATGGTTCTTTAGACTGGCCGCCACCTCCATTTTATGATCTCTATCTTTTTCTATCTCTCTCTCTTTCTTTCTGTCTTTCTTTCCTTCTTTCTTCTGGGGGCTGTGAAGGTGGTTCATTCCCGGGATTTACAAGGTCTAAAAATCAGTTTTGAAAAACCAGCTCCAGGCGCGGTGACTCACGTTTGTAATTCCCGCACTTTGGAAGGCTAAGAGGCAGGTGGATCAGTTGAGGTCAGGAGTTTGAAACGAGCCTGGCCAACATGATAAAACCCCATCTCTAGTAAAAATACAAACATTAGCCAGGCGTGGTGGCACGTGCCTGTAGTCCCAGCTACTCTGGAGGCTGAGGCATGAGAATCACTTGAACCTAGGAGGCAGAGGTTGCAGTGAGCCAAGACTGCACCACTGCACTCCAGCCTGGGCGACAGAGCAAGACTCCATATAAAACGAAACAAAACAAAAAACAGTTCCGGCCAGGCACGGTGGCTCATGCCTGTAATCCTTGTAATCCTAGCACGTTGGGAAGCTGAGGTAGGAGGATCCCTTGACCCCAGGAGCTCAAGACCAGCCTGGGCCACATAGGAAGACCCTGTCTCTATTTTAAAAAATAAAATAAAAGCCAATTCCCAGAAACACACACACATTTCCCCTTCCCTTTAAATTGAAGCATTTCTGGAAAAGGCATCCCACGTGGGAAGGAAGACCCTGCATGTCGGCATGCGGAACCCCACCAGCAGCACACACAGATGTACCACAGTCGGGCCTACTCCGCAGCCCTGCCCTGGGGGCAGAGCCTGTGGGGTTTGCTGTCACTATCGTTGTTCATTTGCTTTTTGGTACTTTGGTAAATTGTGTCCTATATATGTGTCTGAGTATACAAAGATAGTCCCTAACCTGCATTCTAAAGTGATGGGGCCGACGAACAATTGGGCTTTTGATCTAACAAGTTCGGTCCCCAAGCTGAGAGCCAGAGTTTAATCGCTCAGGGCATGAAGAAAGATTTTAAAAGCCATAAAGGCAGAAAGAGGGAAATAGAGGAAACGGGTGCCTGGCACCTGAAGAGAAACTGAGGAAAGAATGATGAGGTTTGAAGGAGATTCTAAGGAATTTTACCGTGAGGTGTGCAACGCAGACCTTCTCCCTCATCTGGATGAAAACCAGGGAAGTCCCCATTCCCCACAGGTGCGCTTGGAGCTGGGCCATCAGATCAGATGAAGAGGTAAGAAGAGCCTTGCAGTGGACGCAGGGTGATCACCAAGGGAGGGGGGGGAAGGCTAGCCAAGTCCAGGCTGCAGAGCCATGGGGCACTGGCAGCAGTGAGACAGCCGCTCTGTGTGACCAGGCTGGGGAGGCAGTGCTCTGGGTCACCTGCCTGCGCTGGGCTGGACGGCGAGATGACACCTTCATCCCTCTTTCAGCCACACTGTCCAGAGTGAGTTCACACCCTCATTATATCTCACCTGGAACATTCCAGCAGCCCTTCACTTGTCCTCCCCCACACACCAACATGATCTGTCTGAATCACAAATCTGATCCCACTTCTCCTTGATGATAACATTCGATGTCTCCCCATGTGCCAGCCTTTCCTGTGTATTCAAGGCCCAGAGACAAGGCCCCGTCCCAGTTCCCCTCCTCAGGGTTTCTTCCCTGTTCACCTCTGCTCAGCCACACAGGGTCAGCCCTTGACAACCTTCATATCCTTATACATACATGCCCTTCCCCTTTTGCTGCCTCAGGAACTCTTATTCATGTCCCATCTTAAATGCCTAATGCTTGGATCTCCCTGGGAAGTTTATACTCCCTTCTCTGGGCTCCCAAAGCACATCAAACCTACATGGATTCTTGTAAAGGGAACAGGTAAAGCCTCTGAGTACTTCCCACACACCAGGAACTCAGCTAAGCCCTTTCATATATTAGCTCATTGAATCCACAGCCCTAAGAGATCAGTCCCACTGTTAATCCATTTATGAATGAGGAGATTGAAGCCAAGAGAAGTTATACGCCTGGCCCAAGGGCACACAGCTACAGCAGCCGACCTGGGATTTAAGGTGTCTCACATTGTAACTGGGCAGTTTCACTTCAAAATGCATTTTAAAACCTTTCTCCCCATTTGTCTTTCTTCCCTAGTCTCGAGACGTAACCTTGAAGCAAATGGTAGAAGCCTTTTCCCTTAACCTTAAATTAGACTCCACACCCCTCCCTTTCCCACCATATACTCTCTTCACATTTATCTAACTGTATGCTAGTATCTAATTACGTGCTTACTTAGAAGGTTCCAGGGGTTAATCTTGAGACAGACAGACCAATCTTGAGACAGACAGACCAAGCCTGGAGACCCAGCTGCAAAATTCCAGCAATTACCTCCAGGCAGCTACTCAACAACCCAGCTATTGTTGAGATGATGTCAGCCCACGTTCCAGGTGGACCAAGACCCAAGACAGCCACCGAAACAAGACACACAGACCTTGTACTCAACATACATCCTGCCTGCCTCCCAGATCAAGTTTCCCTTTTTAAGCTCTTGCCTTCTCCCCAGAAACTCAAAATGGTTACTTTGGATATGACTCTGGTCATTTCCCCATTGCTAGTTTTGATAAATAAAGTCACTTTCTTTCCTCGCCCTTGTTACTGGGCTTTGCAAGCAGACCTGTATTCCACTACAAAACCATCCCATTATGTCTCTCGAAGTACTTCCCATGTGTGTCTTAAATGTGACCACATCAGTAGCTCCCAAACCCGTTTAGCCTCAGGGTGACCTGTGGGCCCTGCTCAGATGTAGGCAAACAGAAGCTCTTGTGGTAAGGCCCAGAGTCTGTCACTTTTAAAAGCTGTTCAGGTGAGACAGAGGCTCAGCTAGGCTTAGGGTGACTAACTATCCTGGTTTGTTTGGGACTGTGGGGTTTCTTGGGAGGTAGCAAAGCCCTGGGCAAACTGGAATGAGCTGGTCTCCCAGGTAGGAGGTTCAGACGTGACTCGAGCATCAGGCTCTTCTCAGGACGTTCAGCTCTCTGTGCCTGGGAACCTTTCAGTACCCAACAGTGTCTGACACACGAGGTGCTCAGTAAGTAGAGAGAAATGTGCCTTGCACCTGGAGCTCAACAAACGAACAATTTTCTTCAGCTTTAGGCTCAACTGGAAAATAGTCTTCAGGGGCCTTGAACATGGGGTGCAGGTGAGTGTCAGTGGGCACAGCCCTGATCTTGCTCTGCCCTACCCCACACCGCTCATCCTCAGAAACCAGTCTGGATTAGGGACAACCCGGTGGCTGGGGTCAGCTGGCAGGCAGCCAGGCAGGGTTCTGCTCCCCAGAGACCGGTAAGTGATCCCTGCTCTTCCCAGCCATGCCTAAGCCATATGCACCCCCAAGAAGCCTCAAAGAGTGGGCAATGTCCATGAAGTCTGGGCTCTTGGTGAACACTGGTCACCAAGCATTCACCAAGATGTTCATACAGATAGGGAAATGAGTCCCATCGAAGACAATTTGCATATGTTGTTTGTAAAAGAAGGAAATGACATCTTTGCCCAATGAATATGCTGCAGATATATTTTCCCAGGCAGTCCTTGGTCTTTGGACTATGTATGGTATTTTTTTCCCACAGTGATGTTTAAAATTTTTTTATGAGTCATGTACTATATCAATCTCCTTTCTTTGGGGTTTTATGCCCTGCTGAGAAAGCTTCCCCCACTTCTTGATTTCTTCTAGAACTTTCACAAATTTTGGGGAGTACAAAAGGTAGGTTAGGGATCTAGTATTTCTTTCCCCCCAGTTAGGCCCAGATAGGAGAGATGACTTCTCCAAAGTCAGAGTGGGTCTGGTGTCTGCTAGGATGAGGGTGCCCCATCCAGACCTCATCTCCCTGTCACTACCCCAAGTCTGCATAAAGATCTCTTCTTTAACCAGTCTCTTCAGAAGGCCTTAAAAGAGTAACTGTTTTCACAACTTGCCTTCATGTATCCTTTCTTGAGTTACAGTCACTCATGCGTGAGGCTTTCCTCGTCCTTACTCTGAGACTGTGTTCATCTTTGAGGCTCCCACCTACCCACAATACCCTGCGCAGTGCTCTGTATATCATTCATATTTGGGAATTAGACTGAGATATATGCCCCCAGCTGGCAGTGTGAAGGCCCTTGGATTTCCAAAATGCAGAGGCAAGGGATTTGGTGGGCTAAGTGAGTGTAGGCCCCTCTGTTCCTTAAGATCCCATGTCATGGCAGGGACTGGGGTACCCACTCAAGTGTGCCCTCGGTGTTCCCTTCCCTTCTCGCACTGGGTGGTATGAAGCAGCTGCTGGGTTCACAGGATATGGGGCGTGATCTGTGGAGGAACACAGAGGAGGGAGTAGATAGGAAGGGAAATTCAGCTCCTGTGCCTGATCTTGGGCCTTCTCCCATCAGCCCACCTCTTGGGTGTATTTCTTGGACCACAGGACCAGAATGGCCGAAACTGAAGAAAAGCAATTGATATGGTTTGGCTCTATATCCCCATCCAAATCTCATGACAAACTGTAATCCCCAAAGTTGGGGGAGGGACATGGTGGGAGGTGATTGGATCATTGGGGTGAATTTCTCCCTTGCTGTTCTCATGATAGTGAGTTCTCACAAGGTCTGGTTGTATAAAAGTGTGTAGCACTTCCCCCTTCGCTCTCTCTCTCCTGCCAGCCATGTGAAGACCATGCCTGCTTCCCCTTTGCCTTCTACCATGATTGTGAGTTTCCTAAGGCCTCCCCAGCCACGCTTCCTGTACAGCCTGTGGAACTGTGAGTCAATTAAACCTCTTCTCTTTATACATTACCCACTCACAGGTAGTTCTTGATAGCAATGTGAGAACGGACTAACACAGCAGTAGAAGAGCTGAATAAGGAAGGGCTCTTTCCATTTTGTGAGCCTTAAGAAACTAGAATCTGCCTTGTTCTTTGGGGTATAAACTTGAAATCCTAAGCCCCCCCATTGACTGAATGGATCCCCTTGTGGCCAAGGGGACCCCATTAAAACCTTAAAACTGACTTCCTGGCCATGACGGGACAGAAGATCAGACACCTCGTTACACCCCCTCCCTCTTCTGGTTTAGACACAACAACTGACAAGCCTTAATGTTAAAACAGAGATTCTAAAACTGACAGAACAGATTCTTTGTGGCAATAAGGTATCAAATTATAAACAGAACCTAAGGCCATGCCAGGCAAAGGTTAAGTCACCCACTCCTACACTTATAGAATAAACTATGTCCCAACTGCCACAAGGTTTTTCTTTTTCTCTAGCAGCTAAACTAGAGCGCTGGCCTTGAGATAAGCAATATTAAAACAATTACAGTTCATCCAGCTCACAGAGGCTAACTACCTGACCCTTGTTCCACAAGCCGTAACTACAGCTTTGACTGGACAAGAGACTGATTTCAGTAACTTTCTCCAGATAAGACCACCAACCATGGACTGGTTCTGGCCAGTTTACAGAGACTGCACACTTGCATGTTTCTGGATCCTGAAAAGACCTTCTGATGTATAGGGCCTAATCATAATACGTTTAAAAGTTATGTCCCCACCCCAAAGTGGGTCATATGTTACATGCATGTTCGTTCAATGCACATGCATCAGGATTGCCTCATGAATATTCACAGCTCCTCCTGTAACCTGTTGAATATGTATGTTTAGCCAACCTGTTCAGCATAAAGCTCCTACCCCAAGCCTTCCTCCTTCGAAATGCCTGTCTCTGGTCTTGTCCAGAGGCACCCTTTCCAGCCTGCTGTACCCCCGTTATAAGAAATAAACTCTTCTCTCCTTTCTGCATTTATAAATCTTGTGTGTGGTTTTCTTCTTAAAGTTAACAGGGATAATTATATCCCAGCCCTCAAGGCCAACACAAGCAGCTGCCAACATTTCAGAATGCTTGGGGAATGCAATGTCCTGGCAAATTGAAGATCTGTATGAATGGAGTGGCCCAGCTTACTCAGAGTGACTTGCTCACTTATCCACTCAACAAAGCATTGGAGAATGCCTGCCGGGTGCCTGACTCCATGTACTGTTCTAGGTGCTGAAATGCAGCAGTAAAAGAGGGAGATTGTTGGCTGCTTTGGTGGAACCTACTTTCTAATAGAGGGAGAGAGAAGACAAATCAATCAAGAATGCACATGAAAATATCAGACACTGATAAATGCCACTGAGGAAGTAAACGGAAGGCCGCACCTGGGGAGCCACACTGCTGGGTGGTCAGGAAGGAAGGGACATTTTAACAGAGATTGAGTGATGAGGACTCACCTCGTGAAGACCTGGAGGAAGAGCAAGTGGAGCAGCCGACACAGCTGGGGCAAAAACCCTACAGCAGGGATGAGCTCAGTATCTCAGAGGCGCTGCCTCCGACAGAAAAGAATAACAGCACATCCCCCGAGTTTCTAGAGGTTTCAACCAAATTTTGTTCTTTTGAAGACTCAGGTTTTATCTTTAAAATGAAAGCAAATTTTGGGTTCCAGTCTTTGAGACAACCATATTTATTTTTGTGTTAAACCTATCTGTCTTTAAAAAAAAAAGAGAGAGAGAATATACTTGGATTGAGGTAAGCCAAGATTAAACTTCTAAAAGGTAACATCCCATAGTCCAGAGAAATCTGACGCAAGGTAGCTAGATGCCATTTCATCCTCGTGTTTATCGTTCACCTGGCAGTGACAGAATCTGGGCCTCCAGTAAGTCCAAGTCCAATTCTCAAGAACACATGACAAGATCTGACTTGGGTGGGACAGGAAACCTCCTTGGTGGGTTATTTCCTCCATTCCCCCAACCTTAGATCCTGCACAACACACATTATCAGCAGGTTTGTTCCTGAACCCCAGGACCATGACTCAAGGCCATGAACAACTTAACCCAAGCAATCTAGGAATCCTGGCCTGTGCGGTGTGCCACATCACCTGGTCAGATCATCTCCTCATCAGATGACTGGTATGGCCTGAATTGTGTCACCCTCGCATTTATACACTAATGTCCTAATCCCCAGTACCTTAGAATATGGCCGAATTTGGAAGTAGGGCCTTTAAAGAGATGATTAAGATTAAATGAGATCATGTGGTGGGCCCTACTCCAGTATGACTGGTGTCCTTATAAGAAAGGAAGAGCGACCAGGGATGTTCACTCACAGAGGAAAGGCCATCTACAAGCCAAGGACAGAGGCCTTGGAAAAAACCAAAACTGCTGACACCTCGATCTTGGACTTCTAGCCTCCAGAACTGTGAGTAAATTTCTGTTGTTTAAGTCATCCAGTCTGTGGTATCGTGTTACAGCAGCCCTGCCAGATTAATACAATAACCCAACAAGAGCCCAAGGTGAGGGGACTCCAGGGAATGGGCACCCCAAAAGTAAAGTTTTAGAGTTTCCTTTCCCAAAGTTTTCTCCACCCGAGATAGAGTGGTCACTGGTTGGCTTCCTTCCTCATACCTTTAGAACTCACCACGGGCCAGCTCCATGTCCCCAGCTGGGCACTGTGTCTCTGACTCAATCCATTCCTTTCCCAGCCCTCAGGATCCTGTGCTAATGAAGGCATCATCAGCTTCAGCCACGCTTTTGTTCTCTACACCATCCCTTCAAAGATGGAGGTTGGGGCAAGGACCCCTCCCTGGAACCAGGCCAAAGGTTCAGTATTGGAAAAGCATTGATTCTTTCCCCATAGTCCTTAAATATTCTTTTTACAAAGACTACACCAGATTAAAACAGTTCCGTGGCACAATCTCTACAGGTCTGTTAATTCAGGACAGAGCTCTGGAATTAATGGCCAAGAACAAGAACCAGCTTTATTATAACTGCATCAATTCCAACAACATGTGCTGGGTAAATATTACCTCCAACAAGGTCCAAACTAGCCTATAGCCAAATGCAGCTTATAACCATGATTTTCCCTATACTTCTTCCTCCTAGCAAGATTTGGACTTCTCTCTTGATGAATCAGGCCTCTAGGTCATACATCCAACTGGAGAAGCCAGAAGTAACATCATCTTGGCCAAAACCAACAAGTCCACCTCCCAGTTGTCCCTCCTCTGGGAAACCGCCCATTTGGCTCTGCAGCCAGCACTGCCTTCGTGGCATGTGGTGTAATGGATGTAACCAGGACAGTGTGTACCAAAGCTGAGAAAAGTCTCCATGTATGACACCAAGGCCAAAAAGGAAAAGTATGCCAGCGTCTGGTTCAAAAGTGGAGAAATGAGACAAACCTGTCTGATGACCCAACTGTACATCCCATCCAATCTATGAGTCCAGCTATGGTGACTGGAGCCACTACGATGTTTATTCTTATAGCGACATGTGAGGAAGGTAACAGGAGTATCAGGCGAGGGAAAGGGTGAGGCTCCTTGGGACTAAGCACACTCATATTTGTTGGTTTGTTTGCTGAGTGTGTGTTTGCTTGTGTCTTTATTTTACGCAGAGGGCATTCCTCAAATGCTGGGTGACCTTGGCTGTCTGTTCATATTTAAGAGTGAGACATCAAAAGTTGATTGCCACCTGCAACCCAGCAACTCCACTCCTAGGTTAATGCCCAGGAGACATGCATACAAATATGCACCAAAGGATACACACAAGAATTCCCGTAGCAGCTCTGTAATAGCACACCACTCAAAACTACCCACAAGTCCATCAACAGTAGATGGGATAAATAAATTGTAGCATATAAACACAACGGGATTCAATACAGCACTGAGAATGAACAATCTATAACTACATGCAACAATATGAATGAGTCTTACAAAAATTACGCTGAATAAAATAAGTCAGAACCAAAAAGCATACATGCTATGTGATTCCATTTATTTAAAGACAAAACATGCAAATCATTAATGTGCAAGATGAGAAGTCAAGATAGTGGTTGTCCTTCGGTGGAGATAGTACACATTACACTTATATAAAGCAGATGCTAGAGGGAAAGCAACGAAAAATAGAGAAAAATACCTATAGGGAGAATTAAACGCACCATTCTCAGTAGGAGACAGGTCAAATGGACAAAAATTAAGCATATATGTCAAAATCTAAACAACCTAATCAACAAGATGAGTGCTTAAAATATTTTTTTAATTTATTTTTTGAGACACAGTCTCGCTCTGTTGCCCAAGCTGGAGTGCAGTGGTGCGATCTTGGCTCACTGCAACCTCCGCCTCCCGGGTTCAAGTGATTCTCCTGCCTCAGCCTCCTGAGTAGCTGGGGTTATAGGCACCTACCACCACACCTGGCTAATTTTTGTATTATTAGTAGAGACAGGGTTTCACCATGTTAGTCAGGCTGGCCTCAAACTCCTGACCTCGTGTGATCTGCCCACCTTGGCCTCCCAAATTAAAATCATTGCATCCTGATTTAAGCACACGAAAACACATACACGTTGGGATTCTGATTGGAAGGGTATTACATTTATATGTTAACTTTAGAAGAGTTTATATTTTTATGTCATTTCATCCATGAATATGGAATGTCTCTCCATTTGTTAGTATAGAAAAAAGCTATTGATTTTTGTACATTTATCTTACACATAGCCACTTTACAAAATTCTATTATTAATTTTAATCGTTATTAATTCTACTAATTTGCTATTAGACTGGGTTTTCAATTCTACCAGACCAGAAAAAGAAAATATGATTTTTCCTTCTTTGGTAATACTCATACAGATTATTTCATTTCTTTTCTTATTTCATTCGTAAGGACTTCCAAAAAATGTTCAACATTAGCAGTGATAACAGGCAAACTTGTCTTATTCTTTATATTAAAAGAATGATTCTCTCAGGCACTGCTCAGAACCAAAGGAGCCTGTCTCCTTTAGCCACCATGCACAGGCATTTACCAAGGTCCTGACAATCACAGCCCCTCATTCCAGGAGCCTGCAGATACCCTGGAGATGGGGTCACTAGGCGGGCTTGAAAACCCCAGGCTCTCTCCACTCTTTCTTTTCTTTCCTTTGCTTCCCTTTTCTCTTTTTCTTTTCCTTTCTTTTCTTTTTCCTCCCTCCTTTCTTTTTTTTCTTTCTTTCTTCTTTTTCATTTTTTTTTTTTATTTTTAAGAGACAAGGTCTTGCTCTGTCACCCAGGCTGCAGTGCAGAGGCACCATCACAGCTCACTGCAGCTTTGAACATCTCCCAGGCTCAAGCAATCCTTCTGCCTCAGCCTCCCACGTAGCTGGGACTGGCTGGGCACCATGGCTCGTGCCTGTAATCCCAGCACTTTGGGAGGCCGAGAAGGGCGGATCACTTGAGGTCAGGAATTCAGATCAGCTTGACTAACATGGTGAAACCCCGTCTCTACTAAAAATACAAACAATTAGCCAGGCATGGTGGCGCAGGTCTGTAATCTCAGCTACTCGGGAAGCTGAGGCGGGAGACTTGCTTGAGCTTGAGAGGCGGAGGTTGCAGTGAGCTGAGATTGCACCACTGCCCTCCAGCCTGAGGCGACAAAGCGAAAAAGCAAGACACTGTCTCAGAAAAACAAACAAAAAACAAGTAGCTGGGACTACAGGCACCACCATGCTCAACTAATTTTTTGTTTATTTACTTTTTGTAGAGATCGGGATAGCTCTGTGTTGCCCACACCAGTCTCGAACTCCTGGCATCAAGTGATCCTCCCCCCTCAGCCTCCCAAAGTGCTGGGATTACGGGCGGGAGCCACCGTGCCCAGCCTCTCTACTCCTTTGTCACTTCTCTCTGGCTGCCACCACCTTGCCCTGGAGTTATTTCAGCACTCTCCTAACTGGCTTCCCCTTGTCTCCTCTGGCCCCTCCTTGTCCCTTGTGCAGTCTGTCCAGCACACTGCCGCCAGAGTGAGATTTCAAAATGCAAATCTTTTTTTTTTTTTTTTTTTTTTTTTTGGAGACAGAGTCTCACTCTGTTGCCCAGGCTGGAATGAAGCGGCAAGATCTCGGCTCACTACAACCTCCATCTCCCGGGTTCAAGTGATTCTCCTGCCTCAGCCTCCCAAGTAGCTGTGACTACAGGCAGCCGCCACCATGCCTGGCTAATTTTTATATTTTTAGTAGACATGGGGTTTTGCCATGTTGGCCAGGCTGGTCTCGAACTCCTGACCTCAAGTGATCTGCCTGGCTCAGCCTCCCAAAGTGCTGGGATTACAGGTGTGAACACTGCGCCCGGCCTCAAAATGCAAATCTGATCGTGTACCTCTTCTTGCCTCCCACCCTTCTAGGATGCAGGTTATACAACGCTGTGAACTGGCCCCTTCCTGACCCTCCAGCTTCATCTCATCCGCTCTCCCTCCCTCTCAGAAGAACTAACTGGTCCTCTTTCGTTCCCTGGATACACCCTGCTCCTGCTGTCTCAGCACTATGCACCTGCTTTTATTTCTGCCTGGAACACCCAACCATATGTGGATGGGTACACACACACACACATCTTCCCTGCTAACTCACATGGATCACCAGTGTCACTGACTCCCTAGATGTATATGACATAGTCATGTATCACTTGATGTGTATGACATAGTCATGTATCACTTGATGTGTATATGACATAGTCATGTATCACTTCATGTTCTGAGAAATACGTTAAGCAATTTTGTCATCGTGTGAGCATCATGGAGTGCACTTACACAAACCTAGTGCCTACAACACACCTCGGCTATACGGTCCTTTTGCTCCTAGGCTGCAAACCTGTGCAGCATGTTACTGTACTGAATACTGTAGGCATTTGTGTATCTAAACATATCTAAACATAGGACAAGTACAATAAAAACAGTATAAAAGAGAAAAAATGGTTCATCTGTATAGGGCACTTACTATGAAGGTATGTCCGGAATTGGTGGGTTCTTGGTCTCACTGACTTCAAGAATGAAGCCGCGGACCCTCGCGGTGAGTGTTAAGAGTTCTTACAGGCGGCGTGTCCGGAGTTTGTTCCTTCTGATGTTCAGATGTGTTCAGAGTTTCTTTCTTCTGGTGGGATCATGGTCTCGTTGGCTCAGGAGTGAAGCTGCAGACCTTCGCGGTGAGTGTTAACAGCTCTTAAGGCGGCGGGTCCGGAGTTGTTCTTTCCTGCTGGTGGGTTAGTGGTCTCCCTGGCTTCAGGAGAGAAGCTGCAGACCTTTACGGTGAGTGTTATAGCTCACAAATGCAGTGTGAACCCAAAAACTAAGCAGTAGCAAGATTTATTGCAAAAAGCAAAAGAACAAAGCTCCCACAGAATGAAAAGCGAGCAGAGCCAGTTGCCACTGCTGCCTCAGGCAGCCTGCTTTTATTCTCTTATCTGGCCCACCCACATCCTGCTGATTGGTCCATTTTACAGAGAGCTGATTAGTCTGTTTTACAGACAGCTGATTGGTCCATTTTGACAGGGTGCTGATTGGTGGGTTTACCATCCCTGAGCTAGACAGAAAAGTTCTCCACGTCTCCAATAGATTAGCTAGATACAGAGTGTCCATTGGTGTATTTACAAACCCTGAGCTAGATACTGAGTGCTGATTGGTGCATTCACAATCCCTTAGCTAGACATAAAGATTCTCCAAGTCCCAAGATTAGCTAGACACAGCGCCTGATTGGTGCATTCATAAACCCTGAGCTAGACACAAGGTGCTGATTGGTGTGTTTACAAACCTTGAGCTAGATACAGAGTGCTAATTTGTGTATTTACAATCCCTTAGCTAGACATAAAGATTCTTCAAGTCCCCACTAGACTCAGGAGCCCAGCTGGTTTCACCTAGTGAATCAGCTGAGGCCCAGTGAGAATTTGAGCGCGGTGCCGGCAAGCCGGCACTGCTGGGGAACGCAGCGCACCCTCCGCAGCTGCTAGCCCTGGTGCTAAGCCCCTCACTGCCCCGCGCAGGCGGCACCAGCCGGCCGCTCCCAGTGCAGGGCCCTCCAAGCCCACGCCTACCCGGAACTCGGGCTGGCCCGCCAGCGCCGCATGCAGCCCCGGTTCCCCCCCCCACGCCTCTCCCTCCACACCTCCTGGCAAGCAAAGGGTGCCGGCTCCGGCCTCAGCCAAGCCCAAAGAGGGGCTCCCACAGTGCAACGGTGAGTGACGGGCTCCTCAAGCGCCCCGAGGCTGAGGAGGCACCGAGAGCGAGTGAGGGCTGCTAGTACCGTTGTCACCTCTCAAAGGGAGCTTGCGGGCCTGGAAGTTGCTCTGGGTGAGTCTGTGAGTGAGTGGTGGGTGAATGCGAAGGCCTAAGACATGACTCCTGAAAACTTCATAAGCACCGTACACTTAGGCTACACTAAATCTGTTTTTAGAAACATTTTTCTTTCTTCAATAATAAATTAACCTCTGCCAGGCGCGGTGGCTCACGCCTGTAATCCTAGCACTTTGGGAGGCTGAAGCGGGGGGATCACCTGAGGTCAGGAGTTCGAGACCAGCCTGGCCAACATGGTGAAACCCCATCTCTACTAAAAATACAAAAATTAGCCAGGCATGGTGGCAGATGCCTATAATCCCAGCTACCTGGGAGGCTGAGGCAGGAGAATCACTTGAACCCGGGGGCGGAGGTTGCAGTGAGCCGAGATCACACCACTTCACTTCAGCCTGGGCAAAAGAGCGAAACTCTATCTCAAAATAATCAACCCAGCTTACTGTAACTTTTTTTACCATATAAACTTTTTTTATTTTTTTAACTTTTTGACTCTTGAAATAACACTTAGCTTAAACTCAAACACACTGTACATCTGTACAAAACGTTTTCTTAGAATGAAGACACGAACACACACATTACACACGTTAGGGTCAGGATCACCAGTATCACTGTCTTCTACCTCCACATCTTGTCCCACTGTCTTCAGGGGCAATAACACACATGGAGCTGTCCTCCTATGATAACAGTGACTTCTGGAATACCTCCTGAAGGACCTGCCTAAGGCCATTTTACAGTTAACTTTTTTATTTTGTAAGTAGAAGAAATACATTCTAAAATGACAATGAAAAGTATAGTATAGTAAATACACAAAGGAGTCATATAGTCATTTGTTATTAAGTATATTATGCACTGTATGTAATTGTATGTGCTAGACGTTTATAAGCCTGGCAGCGCAGTAGGTTAGTTTACATCAGCATGACCGCAAACCTGTGAGTAATGCATTGAGCTATGACGTTGCCACAGCTATGACCTCACTAGGCTATGTAATTCAGCTCCACTGCAATCTTATGAGACCACTGTTGTATCTGCAGGCTGTGGTTGACCAAAACATTGCTATGCAATGCACGGCTGTATAATTACTTGTTCAATGTCTTCATCGCTAGACTGTAAATTCCACCAGGGTAGGGACTGTGTTCCTACCACCTTTAGCCCCAGCACCCAGCACAGGGCCTGGCCTCTGGGAAATGTTCGATAATTACTTTTTATTCTATTTTATTTGAGACCAAGTCTCGCTCTGTTGCCCAGGCTGGAGTGCAGTGGTGCGATCTTGGCTCACAAGCGCTCTGCCTCCTGGGTTCAAGTGATTCTCCTGCCTCAGCCTCCTGAGTAGCTGGGATTACAGGCACATGCCACCACGCCTGGCTAATTTTTTTGTATTTTTAGTACAGACGGGGTTTCACCAAGTTGGCCAAGCTGGTCATGAACTCCTGGCCTCAGGTGATCTACCCACTTTGGCCTCCGAAAGTGCTAGGATTACAGGCATGAACCACAGTGCCCAGCCAATTATTTTAAATTAATAATCAGTTAACAAACCAGTAATTATCAGCCTTTTATATTTTATAATCCACCAATTTCTATTTTATTCCCCTAAGCTGTAGGTGCCTTTTATTCTTGTTTTTCAAGAAGGAGTTTTGCCTGGGCACATAACATTGTACACTGGTTCCTGGGCTCAAGGTTGGGTGCTACCACTTGGCTCAAGGCTGGGTGCTACCACTCTTATGCGTCCCCTGCCAAAGCCTCTGTCATGTTGTGCAGTTTCCCGTACACTTTGCCAGCCAGGACTAGACTGTCTATTGATATTTTTCTCTCTCCCTGATTCACCACCACGAGGCTCTGGGTGGGGAACCATGAAAGGGATGCGACTTTGAAGAGCCCTCAGAATGCCACATTGGTTCCCCTGTCGCCGTACACACTCGCCTCCAGCGGTGCCTCCAGACCACCCTGCCACTGCTTTTTTTCTTCTTTTTTTTTTTTTTTTTTGAGATGGAGTCTTGCTCTGTCGCCCAGACTGGAGTGCAGTGGCACGATCTCAACTCACTGCAACCTCCATCTCCTGGGTTCAAGCAATTTTCCTGCCACAGCCTCCCAAGTAGCTGGGACTACAGGCGCATGCCACCATGTCTGGCTAGTTTTTGTATTTTTAGTAGAGACAAGGTTTCACCATGTTGGCCAGGCTGGTCTCGAACTCCTGACCTCAGGTGATCTGCCCACCTTGGCCTCCCAAAGCGCTGGGATTACAGGCGTGAGCCACTGTGCCCGGCCACCCTGCCACTTCTTCCATCGAAGCCCAGCCCACGATGCTGCTTCCCCTCCCTGCCCCACTCCATGTCCAGAGCCTCTGCCCATCTCACCAGTAAACACCCAAGAATCAGTGGGCTGCAGGGAGAGCTCCACCAATCCCCCTTGGTGCGGTGGCTCACGCCTGTAATCCCTGCACTTTGGGAGGCCGAGGTGGGCAGATCACCTGAGGTCAGGAGCTCAAGACCAGCCTGGCCAACATCGCGAAACCCCATCTCTACTAAAAATACAAAAATTAGCTGGGCGTGATGGCGCACGCCTGTAGTCCCAGCTACTCGGGAGGCTGAGGCAGGAGAATCGCTTGAACCCGGGAGGTGGAGGTTGCAGTGAGCGGAGGTTGCAGGGTCGCACTCCAGCCTGTGCGACAGAGTGAGACTCCATCTGAAAAATAAATAAATAAGCTGTCAGAAAAAAACTCCAGCTGGCGTCCCCCTCCCTGCAGCCTGAAGTCTGGAGGCAGAGACAGTATCTAATGGATCCTTATAATTTTAGCCCAAAGTGCGAATGAGGGCATGGCAAAGCCGCAGGCAGAGTTTTGAAGCAATTAACTATGAATGCAAGGGGCCTCTCTCTCCTGCGTTCAGCCAAATCACAAGTGTATTCCCTTCACTCATTACAATGTAGCTAAGACAATTAAGTATTGTCTAACTGTGGCGCAATTAAAACCCCTGTAATTAAGGAAGGTGGGGGCCAGAAGAAAAGGACTCTGGTTCTGAAAACTCAGCCCGAGTCCAAGCAAAAGAGCAATGTACACATTTGCCACTAGATGGCAGGCTTCCTGCTTTATTCGCTAGCTCTCCCAATTTTATTAAATACAGAAATGATCCTGACCAGTACTCTAGCAATCCAATCTTCCAAAGCTTCCAAACACATTAAAACTCATAGAATGTTAAAGGTGGACAAAAGTTTAATGAATTTTTTTGCCGAACCTTACATTTACAGAAGAGAGAGAGAGAGAGTCCTAAAGGTAAACCCCAGGTTGTTTTTCTATTATTCTACTCTGCCTCTAAACAAAAGCCACCCAAAAACCTCCTTAAAAAGAGACATAATATAGGTGTGTTCCGTTTCTGAAAAATGCAAACAGCGCTGTTATGATTTTTTACACCTTTCTGCATGTACGTAATGCTGACAGAGAGATGAACTCTTCCATAAACATGGTTGGATGTTTACCTCGTTTCTGTCTTCTTTGTGAGCTTGGCGAGTGCTGGGGCTAGTCAGTAACTTGAAGTCCAAGATCCCTAATTCAGCTCTGTGCTCTCACAGCCTTACCAAAGCCTGGTAAAAGGACAAATGAGACATCCGAGTTGGTTGTAAGGAAGTAAAGTGGAGTCCCTACAACCAGCTGGGTGACTTTAGCCAAGGGACTTGCTTCTTGGGACCTTGATTTCAAAAAAAGGGGACGTTGGATTCACTCTATCATCTAAATCTGTAAGTGCAAAAAGTAATACAAGAGAAGTGTCCTGTAGAGCACGAGGAATGTTGCAGGACATGGGTTCTCAAAGTGTGGTCGGACCCCTAAGCGTACCCTCTCCCTTCTCCGATTATGTATCTATTCAAGGACAGGTTTTTTTCATAGACTTCAGTTAAAACAACATGTCAGCGAGGCGTGGTGGCTCACACCTGTAATCCCAGCAGTTTGGGAGGCTGAGGTGGGAGGATCACCTGAGATCAGGAGTTCGAGACTAGCCTGACCAATACAGTGAAACCTTGTCTCTACTAAAAATACAAAAAGTAGCTGGGCTTGGTGGCAGGCGCCTGTAATCCCAGCTACTCAGGAGGCTGAGGCAGGAGAATCGCTTGAATCCGGGGGGCAGAGGTTGCAGTGAGCCGAGATTGCGCCATCGCACTCTAGCCTGGGTGACAAAGCAAGACTCCATCTCAAAAAAAAAAAAATCACAAGAGATGGAATGAAGGAGATATGAGAATCTGTAGACCAAACATTTAAAAGATTTGCAAAAATATAAAACAACACCACTCTGCAAATGTCTTTGTTTTAGAAAATATAGCTATTGTTGGTAAAAATGTGTAATTTATGTTAACATGCAATGGATTTTTACAGTTATTGTTACATGTATTAATAAATATTTGAATTTTCCCAGCTATAATTTCTAATATAGCAAGGCAAATATAAAAATGTCTCACATGAACAAAAGCTCTTGGAGGCTGTCAATCATTTTTAAGAGCATAAAGGGGTCCTGAGACCAAAAATTTGAGACCTGCTGTTGTAAGTTTCATCAGTCCCTTTCTTAGCTCTGTTATTTATCTTTTCATTCTTCAGAAGCAGAGAATTGTATATCCAAAGATGTTAATTTCAGCATTATCTACAATAGCAAAGAAAAAAGAGACTAAAAGACAATGTCTAACACCAGAGGAAAGGTTCAACCATAATAAATATGCTCCATTGACCCAATAGAATTAGATATTATAGTATTATAAGAAAATGATTAGGGGCCGGGCACGGTGGCTCATGCTTGTAATCTCAGCACTTTGGGAGGCCAAGGTGGGTGAATCACTTGAGGTCGGGAATTCGAGACCAGCCTGACCAACGTGGAGAAACCCCATCTCCACTAAAAATACAAAAAAATTAGCCGGGCGTGGTGGCCCATGCTTGTAATCCCAGCTACTCGGGAGGCTGAGGCAAGAGAATCACTTGAACCCAGGAGGCTGAACAGAAAAGGACAATGGCCTCTTTGTCCCTAGTGTAAGAGAGCTGGGGGGAGCCCTAGGAACCCACCAATGGTAAATTTAAAATGCTGCCTTAAAGGTATTGAACAAGTCCGGGTGTGATGGCTCATGCCTGTAATCCCAGCACTTTGGGAGCCCGAGGCGGGAGGATCACTTTAGCCCAGGAGTTCAAGATCAGCCTGGGCAACATGGTGAGACCCCATCTCTACAAAAAATATAAAAAGTAGCCAGGCGTGGTGGTGCAGGTTGCGGTGAGCCGAGATCAAGCCATTGCACTCCAGCCTGGGCAACGAAAGCGAAACTCTGCCTCAAAAAAAAAAGAAAAGAAAAGAAAAGAAAATGATTATATGGCATAATGTTAAGTGAAAAGACATAAATTGGCACTACCCCAATTGTAAAATGTGAGATTGGAACCTAATATATAAAAATGGAAACATTAATCAGTTACTATACTGTATTTCAATGTCACAATTATGGGTAGTGTTTTTCTTTAAACTAGTGGCTATTATTATTTTGTTATCTTTTTTTTTTAATTTTATTTTCTCTTTTTTTTTTTTTTTTTGAGACAGGGTGTCTCTCTGTCACCCAGGCTGGAGTACACTGGTGCAATCACCAGCTCACTGCAGCTTCAACCTCCTAGTCTCAAGTGATCCTCCCACCTCAGCCTCCTGAGTAGCTGGGATTACGGTGTGCACCACCACACCTGGCTACTTTTTATATTTTTTGTAGAGATGGGGTCTCACCATGTTGCCCAGGCTGATCTTGAACTCCTGGGCTAAAGTGATCCTCCCGCCTCGGGCTCCCAAAGTGCTGGGATTACAGGCATGAGCCATCACACCCAGACTTGTTCAATACCTTTAAGGCAGCATTTTAAAGTTACCATTGGTGGGTTCCTAGGGCTCCCCACAGCTGTCTTACACTAGGGACAAAGAGGCCATTGTCCTTTTCCGTTTAGCAAGCCGAAAAGGTTCCCAATTTTGAAAAGCTACCTTCCTCCAGCATACCCCCACAAAAGTCATTGTCCTGAAGACCTCTGGGAACATGACAAATGGCAGATCTGTGCAAATATACAACCGCCCTAACCGAGGCCACAGCCACCCGGCCCACTTAGGAGAGCTGGCATTGAATGGGAAGTGGCCGGCGCTTTCAGCCTGGCCAGCGGGCTGACAAGGGGTCTTTGTAATGGGAACAAAACTGCATCCCCCTTCACCTGGAGATTCTCCAGCACCCCCTCCTCTCCTGCACTGCCCCCCAGCACACATCCGTGCACACACGCACACAGAGGGGGGTTTATGTTTGCTTCGTAGGTGTGTTAATAAAAATCTCCTTAGGGTCACCGCTTCTGAGGTTTTGAAGTGAAACACTGCCCAAAAGGAGGGTTCATCTTCAAGGCAGCCTCACCTTCACCCCATTAAGTAGCTCCTGCTCACATCTTTCCTGAAACCACTTAAGGTAATTCCCTGTCTTAACGCTGAAGGTGCTTATGGTTCTATTTCAGACTCCTGGTGTGGGCAGTACAGGGTGAAAGAAATGCCCCGGATAATTAAGGAGATTATTTTATTCAGGCTATTAGGGAGAACTTTCATGAATACAGAGAAAGTTCTCAGCAAAAAGGAAGTGGGGGAAGCTGGGGTGGTACAGAGGCAAGGCTCTGGGGGAAGAATGGACACGGCTTATTTGAAGCATGCGATGGGAATCTACAGAATATGCAAGGGCAGGGGAGTCCTTTGCAATTTCTACCTCCCTTTGGAGCACCAAATAAAGTCCAATATGGGCAACAGAAGACCAGAAAGCTGGCCTCCCCTGTAGCTGAGGAAGGAGGAAATGAGTAGTGAGAATGATGTCCCAGATGCCTCCAGGGGAGGCGGTTCTGGGGACTGGGGTAAGTAGGGGCTGTGGGGAGAGAAAGAGGGTGTGGGAGGAGGAAACACATCTCCAGGTGCTCTTTGGCAGCTGAAATTTCATTCCTCAAATTCAGAAATCATCAGGCCAGGCATGGTGGCTCACGCCTGTAATCCCAGCACTTTGGGAGGCTGAGGTGGGTGGATCACCTGAGGTCAGAAGTTCAAGACCAGCCTGGCCAACATGGTGAAACTCCGTCTCTACTAATAATACAAAAATTAGCCAGGCGTGGTGGTGCACACCTGTAATTCCAGCTACTTGGGAGGCTGAGGCAGGAGAATCGCTTGAACCCGGGAGGCAGAGGTTCCAGTGAGCCAAGATCACGCCATTGCACTCCAGCCTGGGCAACAAGAGTGAAACTCAAAAAAAAAAAAAAATTTTTTTCAGAAATTATCTCCTCCCATCCTGTCCTTCTCCCTCCGTCTTCCTCAAATGGCAGGAGGGTGAGGCTATGATTGAAAGAAAACCACTCAATTCCTTGTATCCCCCCAAACACATGTACACACATGCAGCTCTGTTCCAACCTCCTGGAAGGAAACTGGCTGTCACCAAAGGATTCCAGCCAAATACTTGGGGTTCCTCAAGGATATCTTTTGAAAACAACAACAACAAAAATGTAGATTTTTTTTTTTTTTTTTTTGAGACAGTCTCGCTCTTGTTGCCCAGGCTGGAGTGCAATGGCACGATCTTGGCTACTGCAACCTCCACTTCCCGGGTTCAAGCGATTCTCCTGCCTCAGCCTCCTGAGTAGCTGGGATTACAGGCGCCTGCCACCATGACCAGCTAATTTTTGGACTTTTAGTAGAGATGGGGTTGCACCATGTTGGCCAGGTTGGTCTCAAACTCCTGACCTCAGGTGATCCGTCCGCCTCGACCTCCCAAAGTGCTGGGATTACAGGCGTGAGCCATCGTGCCCAGCCAAATGTAGATGGTTGAACAGCTCCAGTCACAATGTAAAGTTTTAATTTTCCTCTGCAATAAAAGCAGCCTTTTTCTTAATGTTTTCTTTGATAGAGGGAAGCCCCCACCACCACTCCCGGCTTCTTTGCCCCAGCCCTCCTCTTTATCTAACCCAGCCAGATGTGTGCATTTTTTTTTTCCATTCACATGGCACAGGGTTTGAAGATGAGCTGTATCCCCCATTAGCCACTCTTTCCACCCCCGGAGAGACTCTGATTGTGGAGGATTCGTGCTGCTGACTGTAGATAAAACAATCGAGATGGGGGGCTGCTTTGGAAACGGGGGGGGGTGTGGGGATTTTTCCATCTGGAATCACAAGGCTTTTGGTGGTAGGCCCAGATGGAACCACGATCTGTCTGTGGAGACAAAGCTTCTTTTGGAACTGGTCATGGCCACAGGAATATGAGGTTTTTGACAATACGGTGGCCAAGAGATAGGAAACTGAAGTGGGTTATGAAATGCCAAGGACAGATCACTCTGACTCTGGTGAAGTAAGCCCATTAGTAAGCTGAACTCATGTAATTCATCAAGGAGCTTCCTTGAGCCGGTGAAAACAAGGATTGTAGAACTGTGAGTTCAGACCTGGACGTTAGAAAAACAACTCCCAAGTCAGCCAGTCTCCACCCTCTTAGCTTAAGTCATCTTTCGGCTGGGAGCAAACATGCTTCCTTACCACACCAGAACAATGCTAGGTCTTCAATTATTGTAAAGAATTTTACAAATGCTGAGTGTCCCTGTCGACACTATTAATGAACATCCTCTAAGCTGCACTTAAGCCAAATCCCAAGGGATAATTAGGGATACGGAACAATGATACAATGTAGATTGCCAGTTTGCTTGAAGCTCCCAACATCCAATTAGAGGGTGGTAGCGATTTCCCAGAGCACAGGAGATGAAAACCATCTGTCACAGCCTGCTTCCTAAATCCTCCCTTCCAGGAGCTCTTTCTGTCACCTAATAATGCCAAAAAGGAGCACCTTCTCGGCCCTGAAAGCCCATCTTCCGACCAGACATGAGTTAACAAGCTGCGCGCCCCAGGGCAGACCACATTTCCTCTCTGAGCCTTCATTTTCTCTTCTATAAAATGAACCTGCTGGACATGGGTTGGTGGCTTTCAAACTTTTGAAAGCAGTGGAAACTTTTGTTTTTCTCAAGAGGAAAGCTTGATGATGGAACTCAATTTGGAGTATCTTTATGTCACTGAGAGGAAGTATAATAAACACTCCACTAATCAGACTGCTGGAGGGAGACGGCTCAGCTCTTTTGTGTCTTAAATCTCCAAGCAGACTATCAGTCCCCATGGATTGGATCACTGCCTGCAAGTATTAACTGCTTAATAAATGTCACGTAGGAAAAAATGTGTGCTTCATTGGGAAACTGTGTATCCTTTAGAGCATACCCTTCCAGGTTATCTGAGTGCGATGCTTTAGGGTCTCTGGGCCATTCATTGCCTTTGAGCTATTTTTCAAATCTGTAAATTGTAGATAACTGATAGCAATGTAAATAATTCCTGTTTGCAGGCATGCAAATACATTCTGTCCCGAGGTGGTTCAATTTACTTCCTATTTTCCAAAGGAAAGCCAGTTTCCTTCTATTTGAAATATGTTTCCTTCTATTCGTAAATATATTTCCTTCTATTCGTAAATACACTTCAACATTGCTTTTCTCCATATAAATTTGTGCCTCTTTTGACTTCTCATTTGAACCGGTTGTCACATCTTACCAGCCTTCATTAATGATGCACTAAATACAATTTTAACATGTCCATTTTATGTTTGTAGGAATGTCATGATTTTAGCTTTCTTTGAAAATTGCCTTAGTTAAAAAGTTTATCAATAAAAATGAACATTTTTTTTTTCCGAGTTCTCCCCTGATGTCCAATAGCATTTATACTCACACACAGTTGACTTTAAAAGTATAATGTTATGGAAATGCCTTTAGGAAAGCAACACATGCTCATTGGGAATAAGAAATGAGAGAAAGAGCCACATGGGATACTAGGAGCTAGGCTCCCTTAGGCATAAAAGGGCAAGTCGGGGAGCAGTTACCCCAACTCAAGAGAGAAGCTATTGAGAAGGCTGGTGATAGGAGCTGAGGGCTGAAACAGGCGGAGGCAACCAACCCAGGGCAACCCAGTGTAATCACACCAGACCAATCTGGTTCAACTCTTTTTTTTTTTGAGACAGAGTCTCGCTCTGTTGCCCAGGCTAGAGTGCAGTGGCGCAATCTTGGCTCACTGCAAGCACCGCCTCCCAGGTTCACACCATTCTCCTGCCTCAGCCTCCTGAGTAGCTGGGACTACAGGCACCTGCCACCACACCTGGCTAATTTTTTTTACTTTTAATAGAGACGGGGTTTCACCGTGTTAGCCAGGATGGTCTCGATCTCCTGACTTCGTGATCTGCTCACCTCGGCCTCCCAAAGAGCTGGGATTACAGGCGTGAGCCACCGTGCCCAGCCCTGGTTCAACTTTTATGTAACAAAGTCGTGAGTTGTTTTTTGGTTGCCATGGATCCCCAAGTTGAAAGTCAAGTAACCTGAACATGCCCAGATGAACCAAGTGTGCAACCACAAGTGGAACCTAAGTGCTGGAAGCCGGGAGCAAGGACTGCTTTCAGAGGTGGACTGCACATGGCAGGATCCAGGATCCAATCAGATTGAGCTCTAGTGTCACCCCGTGGCAGGATCCAGTCAGATCATGCCTCCCCAGCATCACCTCATTGCAAGATCCAATCAGATCATGGTTCATTACCCTTCGCCTATAAAACCTGCCCCAGCCCACCAGCTAGGCGACATAGATTTCAGCCTTGCCTCCTGTCTTGCCAGTCAATTCCCAATAAAGGTTTTCAGTGCCATGGTATTGGCTTGTGTGTGCATCAGGCAGTGAGCCCATTGCTTGCTGGGTAATACCAGCAGAAAGAGAACAGAAATGAATATTCCAGCCTCACTCTGCTCCCTGCCTTCATGGGCCAAATCCAGCTGGACCAAGAGGGAAAGGGAGTACACATGTTCATAGGCGTCAGCCTTCTTGGTGGAGGGGACATCACAGTCATTCAAACAGCGAACCAAGACAGCTTGGGATGAGAATCAAACCACTCATAGCTCACTGTCTATATTAACATGACTTTACTATTCCACTGTCCTCATCAAAGTAACTTCACTATTATTCCAGAAAATGCTTGCCCAGGAAGATAAAAGCTGTAAATAACTCTACTGTTCATCCCAGGAACTTCCTGAAGGACACACCATGTCTTCAACAGGAAGCATCAGTTTATAGGTTCAATAGGAAGACAGTTTATACCCCAAGGTTCTTTGAACGCCTCAGCCAGAAATCCTCACTTTGCTGTGTCTACCAATCATGATCTTAGCAACCCCCATCAAGCATGCCACCTCTGCACTGAAAGAGCCACCTTAAACCAGGCCTCAAAGTCTCAATAAAAATCACTTTGCCCTCCCACTTTGGGAAGCTACTGAGGCTTTGTGGAGGGGGTACTCTACCTTACCACGGTGAACAATCAACTCAGCCTTGCCTTCTCCGCAGGTTGCTCTGGTGATATTTAGGAGATGGCATTTGACAGAAGGGAAGCATATTTGGAGATGATTGTGTATGTGAGCCTGAATCATCCAGGCAGGTTTCTTCCCTGCTCCAGTTCAGTGGGACGACTGCATAAATATTCTTTCTTTTTCCTATGTGGATACAAAATATTGAGTTTGGGGGCTGGAAGGAATCCCAGCGATGAACTCATCCCTCCCCTCCTTTATGGATTAGGTCAGTAGAACTTACACAGGGAGGTCAGCCAGGGGGCTGGGATCTGAATTCAAGTCCTGCGGCTCTGAGCCAGGTGGCCTGCATTTATTCATTCTCTTGCTGCCATGTTTCTCTTTTCTTTTCTTTTTTTTTTTTTTTTTTTTTTTTTTTGAGATGGAGTTTCACTCTTGTTGCCCAGGCTGGAGTGCAATGGCATGATCTCCGCTCACTGCAACCTCCACCTCCTGGGTTCAAGTGATTCTCTTGCCTCAGCCTCCTGAGTAGCTGAGATTATAAGCATGTGCCACCACACCCAGCTAATTTTGTATTTTTAGTAGAGACAGGGTTTCTCTATGTTGGTCAAGCTGGTCTCGAACTCCTGACCTCAGGTGATCCACCCGTCTCGGCCTCCCAAAGTGCTGGGATTACAGGCATGAGCCACTGTGCCCAGCTTTTTTTTTTTTTTTTTTGGTTTAACAATTGTTTGCTGTGTACCAGGTATTGTGCCAGGTGACGAGCACTCAGAAGTGGGGCCACGTTTTCGAGATTCTTGCCCCGTTTTTCCTTCCGCCCCTTTAAAGCAGATCCTGGGCTCTGTGCTCCTTTACTGAAGAAAGTGGTGGAAGGAAAGAAAGTCGATAGCAGTCTAAGAACTCCCAGCTTCCAATCCCTAAAGTCTAAACATTTGGGAAGAACAGAGGAGATTACAGGTAAGGACCCAAAATGTAGGAAAGGTTTTTCCTGGGCTGGTGTTGGAGGGGAGAGGATGAGAACAGAGAAGGGATGGGTCTCAGGAGGAGCAACCCAAGAGAGAAGGCCTGCGTGGACAGGACTCGACGGGGCATGGAGGGCTCTGTGACATGAAGCGGCAGAGTGACCCCCATACCTCCCCAGAGCCATGTGGACAAGACTGAGGGCCAGCCCAGGAGTGACCTGTGGAACCAATAACCAGCACCAATGCCCTGGCACCATTACGGTCTCGACATCATTAAGACCCTGAAACTCTAAAACAACCAGTGGAGAGCTGGTGCTGCAGACACTCAAAGAGGCAGACGCACAGAGCCAAGGAGGCTCTTGGATTTCGCCCCAAAACTGGGTCAAGGGGACAGAGTCTCCTCCCTCCCATTCCCGACCAGTGCGCTGGGAGTGGCCACACTAGGCATGGAGCAGCCTGTTTGCCAACACACTCTGGTCATAGGAGAAAAAAGAAAATGCCTCCTGAGTTTGGTTTTAAGGAGCTCCTTAACAAAAGGCAGCCCTGAGCAAAGTGATGCTGGGTGAGGGATGCTGCTTTTGCTTTTAAAATAAGCCACAATCTTCCCAGCAAACAAAGAGTGTCTTCTGAGTAACTCAAAGAATGTTTCTTTTCTCCTGGTACAGGGAGGGCATCTTTCAAATGAAAGTCCGTATCTCCTGTTTTCAGGAAGAAACTAGATTAGAATGCCCTTCTTGCATCTGCTGTTTTTCAAGTGCCTTTAGCTCAAAATAATCCTTATGCCAAAGTGGTATGTTTTGGGGTGGCATATCCTGGCACCTTTCAGCAGGAACAGGGGTGCAGAGAGGGGCCATGTGGAGTAAGCCTGTCCCTGAGGGCCAGGAAGCCCAGGCAGCCTCACTTCCTCTCTCTCTCAGCAGCTGATGTGACCCTGGTCTGACCTTGCAGCTGCTCCTCCTGGCTCCCTGCTGGCTGCAGGCCAGGGCTCAGATTCCAGTCTTTTCCACAGCTCTAGAGGACCAGACTTTCAAAGGAGGGAAGGAAGGGAGGAAGGGGAGGGCAGGAAGAGGTCAGAAAAGAGGATGGAGAATTTAGGAGGGGAGAAAGGGAAGTGAGAGGAGCGCAGGAGGCTGGTGGGGAAGGGAAAATCAGACCGGAGGAGAGGAAGGAAATGAGTAACTAATTCTGAAATTGCGGCACCTGAGGCCTCAGTCCTTTTGGGCCTTAACTCTTGCCCTGGGGCCTATCACAGGGGGCCCAGGAGCACTGTTTGCTGTGACCATCCTGGGCAACATGGCAAAACCCTGTCTCTACTAAAAATACAAAATATATTCGATTCATGAAGCACCTCAAATTTAGATTTGCAAAGACCTCCAAACAAAACACCTGCATTGTAAGAAGACTGCCTGCTAGGCACAGTGGCTCACACCTGTAATCCTAACACTTTGGGAGGCCGAGGTGGGTGGATCATTTGAGGTCAGGAGTTCGAGACCCACCTGGCTAACATGGTGAAACCCTGTCTCTACTAAAAATACAAAAATTAGCCAGGCGGGGTGGCAAGCGCCTGTAGTCCTAGCTACTCGGGAGGCTGAGGAAGGAGAATCACTTGAACCCAGGAGACAGAGGCTGCAGTGAGTGGAGATTGCATCACTGCACTCCGGCCTGAGCAATAGAGTGAGATTCCGTTGCCAAAAAAAAGATTGCTCAACCTTCAATTTTGAACTTGTCCCCATCCTGGGTCACACCAGCTACACTACACTGAGTCAGTATTTTTCATAAATTTAAAGGCCATGGTGTCCAATTTTATTGCAGTGTTTTCTTTGTATTAAGGAATGAATCTGTTAGTGGCAAACATTTAAAATATATTGCCAACTTTATTTAATTAATTTATTTATTTTTGAGATGGAGTTTTTGCTCTGTTGCCCAGGCTGGAGTGCAGTGGCAAGATCTCAGCTCACTGCAACCTCTGACTCCAGGGTTCAAGCGATTCTTCCGCCTCAGCCTCCCGAGTAGCTGGGATTACAGGCGCCTGCCACCCTACCCAGCTAATTTTTGTATTTTTAGTAGAGACGAGGTCTCACCATGTTGGCCAGGCTAGTCTCAAACTCTTGACCTCAGGTGATCCGCCCACCTTGGCCTCCCAAAGTGCTCGATTACAGGTATGAGGCACCGGGCCGGGCCAAACTGCAAACTTTATAATGCTGTTAGGGTTCTTCTCCTGTATTTTTAATTTATAGGGAGCTTGAAAAACGGGTGTGGCCCAAGTCTCTCTCAGTTGCTGAGATGCCCTGACGGCACCTCCCACAGCCCTGGGCCCCCTGTAGGACCAGTCTCCCCTGGAGGACACCCACAAGAACAGGAAAGCCCCACCAAAACGCTAAGGAGGGAGGCAGAATTGGTGACACTGGGTCCCCAGAGATCCCATGGCTGGTGACACCATAAAAACTCGTTTTCTTCCCTGAGAGATGAAGAGGAGTGGGGGCAGGAGATGATCTACATGCCAACTCTGGGAATATGTTCAGTCCTATCACTGGGCCCCATTTTTGTTGGTGGCCAACGCAACAGTCTTTCCCTGACTCCTTCCCATGAGCTTGCCTTTCATCATAGGGGATGAAAGGCCAAAGATACCTTCCCAGCCTCTTCTGCGCTAGAAGTAGCCTAGTCAATAAGATACAAAAAAAATTCTCCTGGGTTGTTTTTAGAAAATCTTTTCCTCTCTGATAAAAACAGAGGGGCAAGTCCAGGCACAGTGGCTCACGCCTGTAATCCTAGTACTTTGGGAGGCCAAGGTGGGCGGATTGCCTGAGCTCAGGAGTTCAAGACCAGCCTGGGCAACATGGCAAAATCCCGTCTGTACTAAAAATACAAAAAATTACCCAGGCGTGGTGGCGCGTGCCTGTAATCCCAGCTACTCAGGAGGTTGAGGCAGGAGAATCGCTTGAACCTGGGAGGCAGAGGTTGCAGTGAGCTGAGATCACACCACTGCACTTCAGCCTGGGCGACAGGGCAAGACTCTGTCTCAAAAAAAAAAAAAAAAAAAAAAAAAGAGGGGCAAGAGGAGAGCTCCTTTGCCCACCTCCTTGTTTCTAGATTGGGTTGGGCGTGCCGAGTGAAGACAATGTGCTGGCGCTCAGGCAGGGCAGGAAGTGTGCTAAAGCCAAAAGGGTGGAAGGACCTCGCTGAGCTGCTGCACGAACCCCTGAACTGTCTACACCCAGGCTTCTTAATTATGGGCGATGATTAAGTGGCTTTTTGATTTAAGCTACTCTTGCACAGGTGTTCCATGATTTGCAGTCAAAAGCATTTCCAACACCCAGAGCTGTGCTAGGACTTGTAGAGGATACAGAGACTTCCAAGATTTGATTTCTTCCTTCTATTCTAGAAGCTTATATTCAAAGTAGGGAAACTAGACATATGTACAGGTGTTCAACATCCTTAAAAATCAAACAACTTGGAGTATAATCAAATTTTAAACTGAAAGTAACAGCAATTTCACTCTTGAGAACTTTTCCCAAGAATGTATGTTCAGAGATATTTGCTGAATTGCAGCATATAGTAGAGAAAATGTGGACATACCCTAAATATTTAGCAATAGGGATTGAAATTACAGCACATACATAAATGGAATACTATGAAGTCAGTAAAGATGGTGATGTTGATATATACTTAATGATGGGAATTCTATAGACAATACTCAGAAAAAAAAACAGGTTATCAACTGTGTACTATATAAATCCACTCATGCACAAAAACATCTGAGTCTGGTATATGTGAAACTGTCAGCAGTGATTATTGGTATACAGTGGAATCATGATGGATTTTTATTTTCCTTACACTTTTCTGTACTTTTTCCACTTGTTGCAATGAACACATATTGCATTTGTAATAGTTGCACTAACAGCATTTAGAAATGCAACTGAATAGTAAGACTATCTGTGCTAATAGAGTACAGTGAAGAGCTTTTAAAAATCTACCAAAATTCACTGTGCATCAACTATTTGCAAAACAACATGGTATATAGGAAGGGGATGGAGAACATGAAAAATAGATCCACAGTCATACACACAGTCCATGGCTTTGAAGGGTGGCAGAATATGCCATCCCCAAAATATGCCACTTGCCTTGATTATTTTGAACTAAAGGCACTTGCAAAAGGGGTGCTCTGACCTCCCCTTTTCTTCCTAAAAACAGGAGATAAATCTCCCATGTGAAAGGTCCCCTCCCTATACCAGGAGGAAAGAAACATTCTTATCATCAGAGATAGGAAGTTGAGACCAAGAGAAATCTGTACATACAGACCTTGTTAAAATAATTCTTACGTTCTTTTAGTCCTCATGTATATTTTAGTTACTCTTCCACAATTGCCTCTCTTTGTTCAACCTAGTATATAAGCACTTAGGTTTTGCCAGTTCTTTAGATCTTCATTTTCCTTTGGGGGATCCCATGTACATGTCAAAACCTGTGTGCTTTTCTCCTGTTCATCTGCCTATGTCATCTTAATTATCAGTCCCAACCAGTAACCCTAAGATGGTTGAGGTAAAGATTTTCTTCCCCTACAGCTTTAAAGAACCAAGTTTCTACCTGGGCAGCTAAGACACAGACAGGTGACATAGTTCCATCCATTCTTAGGAGCTTAGAATATTTGTTACATATCCTAACCTGCCCAATGATATGATAGATATTGAAATAAAACATCGAGTTTTAAGTATTTGGCTTTTATGAAAAAAAATTGGAACAACAGTTTTACATTATAATTTTATATACAGAGTATTTAAGTCAGGCATTGTGAATAGCTTCTGGGAAATGCTTTCAGACCTTGTAAGTTTTGCCTAGGATTGTTTGCAAAGTCTGATTTAACACCCTGTATATAATAGAGAAACCTAATTCACACCCAAACCTTTTGTATTTCTTAGAGTTACAAATGCAGCAAAGCATCTCTTAATTTCTAGAACCTTTCCAAATCATAAATGGTAGTATCAGTTTAAACCCTGTGATGTTCTGATAGGCTTATCACATATGTGGTGTGACCCTGATATTACCAGCAGCATAGCTTAATTCTTGAATTTGACCCTGTGTTAGTCCGTTCTCTCGCTACTAATAAAGACATACCCCAGACTGGGTAATTTATATAGGAAAGAGGTTTAATTGACTCACAGTTCAGATGGCTGGGGAGTCCTCAGGAAACTTACAATGACAATGGAAGGGGAAGCAAACACATCTTTCTTCAAATGGTGGCAGGAAGAAGTGCCAAGCAAAAAGGGGGAAAGCCCCTTATAAATCAGCTCTTGTAAGAACTCACTATCACGAGAACAGCATGAGGATAAGTTCCCCCATGATTCAATTATCTCCCACCAAGTCCCTCTCATGACACGTGGGGATTATGGGAACTACAATTTAAGATGAGATTTGGCGGGGGACACAGCCAAACCATATCAACCCTCTTCCCCTGTTTCTGGGTATATTCTAGCAAACTAGGTAGCATTCTAGCTTTCCTTAGACTAGAACGATGTTTAAACAATTGTCCTTACATTTAACATTTGAGTACAGAAAAAGATCGTCTAGGTTTATTTACTAAAACTGTCAGCTGGGTTCACCAAGCCACCCAAAATCCAGATAACATGGATTCATCCCAAATTCTTGTGCTCACCACTGGCTCTGAGCTGCATCTGCAGAATCACATCACTTTAGGAATCACCTTGCCATCCTGCTGTTGTTGCTGTTGGCACACATACCATTGACCCATCCGTGGCACTCAAACCACTCCCTAATTTGCACAGGGGCAGGTGCATGTTGTGTGTGTACATGTGTTTGCGGGCATGCATGTGTGTGTGCATGTGTTTTGAAGGTCTTACCAAATATTGGTGCATGGCCCTCTCACCTCTTTCCTCCCACCTTAATGCAGGAACTGGTTTGTCTCTCTTTTGTTGCTTAAAGTTCTGCTGGCCGGTACCCTTAGTATCTTCTTTATTCATTTTCAGTCAGCAAATAGTTATTGAAGACCAACTATGTGCCATGCACTGTACTAGGTGCTGGGGAAAACAGTAATAGTCCTTAACTTCAGAGAGTTTACAGTCCACAGTCTCCTGTCAAAGACAAACCTTACTCAAAGAATCATACTACCAAATATAGTTTCCCTAAGTACTTTTTAACTTTGTATTTTTAAAATAATTTTAGACTCATGTAGAAGTGCACATAGATATACTATATAGTTCCCGTGTACCCTTAATCCAGCTTCCTCCAATGGTAACATCCTGCATATTCATAGTACAATCATCACAACTGAAATGGGAAAAGTTCCCTTGTCCCCCTTGCAGGGCGTGCGATGGGGATGTGGCTTGCTTTTTCAGTGCCCTGCTGCTCAAACCTGTAGGGGAGCATACAGACAGGCACGCTATGGGCCTCCGACCCCATGGCAGTGTCTAGGGGTGAATGTTTACAGCTGAAGCCCTAGTGGGCGTGTTACTGTGTGTGTGTGTGTGTGTGTGTGTGTGTGTATGTGTGTGTTTTGAGACCGAGTCTCGCTTTGTTGCCCAGGCTGGAGTGCAGCGGTGTGATCTTGGCTCACTGCAACCTCCGCCTCCCGGGTTTAAGCAATTTTCTGCCTCAGCCTCCCGAGTAGCTGGGATTACAGGCGCCCGCCACCGCGCCCGGCTAATTTTTGTATTTTTAGTAGAGACGGGGTTTCACCATCTTGGCCAGGCTGGTCTGAAACTCCTGACCTCATGAGGCCTCCCAAAGTGCTGGGATTACAGGCGTGAGCCACCGCACCTAGCCCAGTGTGCTCTTTTAGTTTTGCTTTTAGTTTGGCCGGCTATAGGTGGCTTGTTTTAGTCAGCTCAATTAGACCCCTGCCTTATTGCAAGGACAGAGGGCTTTCTATATCCCCAGGTTCTTGCCTTGGTGCACCAAAGAATCGGATCATATGTGGGCTTGGAGAATGAGCGGAAGGTTTTACTGAGTGGAAGTACCTCTTAGCAGATGGGGGAGCCAGAAGGGAGATGGTTTTCCCTGGAGTCGGTCTGCTTGGCGGCCCGAGCGCTCCTCCGACTGCCCCAGCCAAACACCGCGTTGTTTTGCCAGTCAGTGGCCTGCCGGCATGCTGGTGCCTGTGGGTGTGTTCCTCCACAGAGCACTCCTCTTGACTTCCAGCTGCTGCTGTTTCTGCCTTGCTAGGGTCTCGGGTTTTTATAGGCACAGGATGGGGGCATGGCAGGCCAGGGTGGTCTTGGAAAATGCAACATTTGGGCAGTAAATTCCTGTCCTCACCTAGGTCGGTGGGGGTGGAGCCCTAGCCAGAGACCACGCCCTCCTCTACCCAGCACTTCCCTTCTCCCTTCCCTATCATTTAAAAGAACTACACCCTTCCCTTCCCAGCACTCCTGTATCTAACCAGGAAATGTACATGAATGCAATACTATTAACTAAACTACAGCCCTTATTGGATTAGCATTTAGCCATCTCTAAGTGCTTTTTTTTGTTTTTTTGTTGTTTTGTTGTTGTTGTTGTTTTGTTTTGAGACACGGTCTTACTCTGTTATCCAGGCTGGCGTGCAGCGGCACAATTACGACTCACTGCAGCCTTATCCTCCCGGGTTCAAACGATCCTCCCACCTTAGCCTCCTGAGTAGCTGGGATTACAGGTGTGCAGCACCATATCTGGCTAAGTTTTGTATTTTTTGTAGAGACTTAGTCTCACCATGTTGCCCAGGCTGGTCTCAAATTCCTGACCTCAAGCAATTCTCCTGCCTTCACCTCCCAAAGTTTTGGGATTACAGGCATGAGCCACCATGCCTAGCCTCTGTGCTAGCCTCTAAGTGCTTTTTAATACACTAATTAATAATTATAACGCCTAGCCTCTGTGCTAGCCTCTAAGTGCTTTTTAATACACTAATTAATAATTATAACAATCATAGGCAGTAAATACTACCATCACCCCTATTTTATAGATGCAGGAACTGAGACCAGAACAGTTACATAACTTGCCGAAGAGTCAGCTTGCAGTGGCATGACGAGGATTGCAAATCCAGGCAGCCCGGCTGTAAGGGATTTGCTCCCCACCACTATACTGTCCCTCCTCTTAACACTGCCCAACCTAGCCAGAACATGTTTTCTTGTTCAAACCCAAACAACCTATCATAGCTCTACAATACATGGCCAGGGAGCTATTAGAAAAAGTTGTAACACTTGGATGACATCTTTAAAGCCAAAATTTTGCTTCCAAAATCAAAGTTTGTTTCAATGGCAGAGGCTTCCCAAAGGAAATGACTATTTCGATCACTGTTCATGAAACAATATTCTTTGGGCTAACAAAGGCTGACATTTCAAACATTTCCCTGTGGTTGAAAATAACTTCAGCTGAAATATTTTGATTCTCAAAAGGAAGTTTCTTTGTAAGAAACGGCAAGAAATGCAGGTGCAGTTAAGGCACACCCAAAACAAAGGCCTCTGAAAATGCAGGGCTTCCTCTCCAAATCATACAATGTTTCCAACTGTCTCATTCCCACTGAAGGAGATAAGAACATGCCTTCCCCAAAATATGCTGCCCTGGCATATTGACTATTTTGAGTTAAAGGCATTTGAAAAACAGCAGGTGCAAGAAGATCATTCTGACATTCCTTCTGTTTCTTAAAAGCAGGAGATGAAACTGCCATGTGAAAGATGCTTTCTTTCCCACAGTATAGGGAAAGTATACTTTCCCTATACTACAAGGAAAGTAACAGTCTTATTATCAAGAATGGAAGCTTTAGTGGAGAGAATTCTGTACAGACCTTGTTAAAATAACTTACCTTTTTTAGCCTCCCCACTGAATTTAGTTACTTTTTCACAATTCTACTATTCTGTCTAATTCAGTATGTAAGTGTTCGACTCTAGCTGTGTCTTTGGGTCTTCAATTCTTTATGAAGGCCCCCATGCCATGGAAAACTTGTACTAAATATACTAGTATTCTTTTATCCTGTGGATCTGTCTTATGTCACTTTAATTCTCAGGCCCAGCTGAAAAACCTTAAAAAGGTAGGGGTAAAATTCTGCCTCCCCTATACCACACAACTCTAAGCCACATGAAATCTGCAACACATGCACATTAATCTGCTTAATGTTGGAAAATACCAATCCCAGAGGAGAGAGAAATAGAAAAGAAAAATTAAACAAGAAAAAACACCTTTTTGCCTAACCATGCATTTGTGGCATGTAAACGTGTTACCACAGTGCAGAAGTGACCTAAATGACCAAAGAGCCCCACCTCTCCCTTCTCCACGGTGAGATGTATCACTACCGTGGGCATCCTAAAGCCAGCTCAATCACCACAATGAGGATTCTCTTTTCTGAGGCATTACCGCCCTCTTTAACATTTTATGAATCCATTTGCAGCACAATCATTTGAGATTATAGTTTGGTCTTGCTCTCCCATAGATTCGTCCCTGCTCTGATTTTAAGTGGGTAGCCAGACCCTTTAGAATTGCTTGCCTTTGAGATTTCGCAGCACAGAAAGCTAAAGAGCTTCAAGTCCATGTCTCCTTCGTTGCTGGTGGCAGTAGGGTAAGGGGAAATGGGATAAATGTAATAAAGAGATGTGTTCTACATGAAGAGGGGAACAAGAGTAGCAAGGGGTGTTGCTGAACCAAACTGAGTCTGTTTGCTCATGCACAATGGAAAGCCACACCCTGGAGCATTTTTGCAGATATTTCTGTAGAGAAAGGTACATTGCAAGACCAGCCTTGAAGCAGTATATTTAAGGGAGAGATTCTGAGGAGGAGCTTTGGGGTGGTTAGTGATTGGCAGCAAAGGAGAGGAATTTTGGAAAGGCCCTTGAACGTGTATAGTTGTGTCTTCAAGCTTCTTCATGAGTCACACACGCAAATTCAGGGTGAGTTGGTATGAAATATGCAGTGGAAATTTTGGCTGTGATGTCAAAAGTCACCCACTGGGCAAGTAAGTCTATTCTGGGAAGACTCTAGTCAGCCATATTGGTTCCAGTTTCAGCCAGTGAGCCAGTTATTGTTGCAACTGGAGGGGATTGTATCAAGCTGTTTCCTTATCTACCATCCTGTAAGTCAAGCTCAAGGTTTCTGGTCAGTGACCAATTTCTTTTCTTTTCTTTTCTTTTCTTTTCTTTTCTTTTTTTTGAGATGGAGTCTTGCTCTGTCACCCAGACTGGAGAGCAGTGGCACGATCTTGGCTCACTGCAACCTCCGCCTCCTGGGTTCTAGCAATTCTCCTGCCTCAGCCTCCCGAGTAGCTGGGATTACAGGATGCACCACCACACCCGGCTAATTTTTGTATTTTTAGTAGAGATGGGGTTTCACCACATTGGCCAGGCTGGTCTCGAACTCCTGACCTCAAGTGATCCATCCGCCTTGGCCTCCCAAAGTGTTGGGATTACCACCATGCTCAGCCCGTGACCAATTTCCTTAAGCCTGTGGGGTACAGCTCCAGGGGCAGAAGATGTTACTGAAATGCCAGGCATCCCATTGCTTGCTGCACAGAATGCCAGGTGTCCCATTCCTTGCTGCACAGAAAGCCAATCACTGAGACTACAAGTATTACCAGAGCAGAATGCTTGATTTGGGTGCTGTGGCCAAGGAGAATGGGAGGTCAGTCTCAAATCTGTCTCTTCAATCAACTAAAATTAGGAGTTTATATAGCAAGGAAGGAATGTAACTATGTGTGGGAAAACAGGAATTAGGGAGAGTAAAAAAGAGTTGGTCAACAGACAGCAGGTGGTCTGTGAGGCAATCATGACTGGTGAGAGATCTCACTGTCCAGACGTGGTGATCTGGTAAGTTTCAGTTCTTTGATACTGTCTGGGAGGCTTGATGGTTGGTTTCCTGAGAAAGGAACTTGAATAAGACAAATGTAAATTCCTCATGTTTTAAGACTGGGAGGGTCCATTCCTATGTTTATTCCAAAGAAACCATAAACATCAGTTCCATGGAACAATTGGTCTGGTTTCAAAGAGAGAATCCCCTAGCCTGCAATGGGGAGCCATGCATCTCTTTCTGGAAAGATCTAAAGAGACAGATGGCTATTGGTACACCTAAGGGTGCTGAACTCCAGGCACTAAGGGCCTCAAGTTTTCCCAAGAGTCCCTTGCCCCAAGTGTGGCATGGATGCAGCAGGAGCAGGAGCCGAAAGGGACTGTTCAAGCTGAGACACAGAGGTCGCAGAGTGACCAGTGGGGCAGGGGACTGGCAGCAAATCCCAGATGAGTCTTTAGTGCTTAAGGCTTTAAGAACATTGAATGACCTGGGGCAGGTGGAACACTGTCAGAGAGACTCAGTAATTACTGAAATTTAACTTCCCACCACTTTCACAGGTGGGATTAATCCACGTTGACTTGAGGAGTACACAGAAATGTTGTATTCTTGAATATCTGCATTTGTGGACCAGTAGTCATACTGAGTCTATATTCATTTATTTGTTCATTTGGCAAATAATGACTGAGCTTATACTATGTGTTGTACACAGTGGTCCCCCAAGCTTCCAGTGATCACACTGGAAGGTGTCCTTCCTAAACCAAGGAGAGGCCACTGCAGTACTGCTGATATAGGAGAAGGCCCCAGGACATCTTATGGGTAGCATCACAAATGACCCACGTTGCACTGATGCTCTTACACTGTTAAATTAAGTGCAGCATAATGTGATGTAGAGGAGTAAAATTTTACCTCTACCTTCCTTAGGGCTTATCAACTGAGCTTGCAAATTAAATGACATAATAAGAGAAAATCAAGAGGAGCAAAGCATACAACTTCATTCAATACAAGTTTACATGACCCAGGGGCACTCATAAGGAAATGAAGACTCAAAGACACATAGTTGAACATTTATATACTAAATTGGGCAAACAGTAGTAAAATGTAACAAGACAAAGGGGCTTGGGCTAGGGTAGTTACTTGGGTAGAGGAGTGACTAGGAAGATAAGAATTAGTCTACCAAGTACAGATTTCCCCTGCCTCGACTTCCTATTCTTGATGACAAGAATGATTCTTTTTTTCTGGTATAAGGAAGATATCTTTCACATGACAATTTCATCTCCTGCTTTTAAGAAACAAAAGGAAGGTCAGAGGGATCTTCTAAGAGTACCCCCTGTTTTTTAAGTGCCTTTAACTCAAAACAGTCAATATGCCAGGACAGTATATTTGGGGGTTGGCATGTTTGTACTCCTTTAGTGTCAAATTTCAAAACTGTACATCTAGAAATTTATTCCAAGGAAATAATCATGGATGCAATGATTTTGCTGGAAGAATGTTCATCTTGGTCTCATTCATCTTAGCAAAATCCTGGAAACACCCAAAATAGGTTAAATATCTTACAATACATCTATTCACTAGAGCACTATGCAGCCATCAAGAATGATGTTGTACAGCTGGGCACAGTGGCTTATGCCTGTAATCCCAGCACAAGGCAGGAGGATCACTTGAGGCCAGGAGTTCAAGACCAGCCTGGGCAATACAGATAGATCCTATCTCTACAAAAACTAAAATAAAATAAATTACCCAGGCGTGGTGGTGCATCCCTGTAGTCCCAGCTACTTGAGAGGCTGAGGCAAGAGGATCACTTGAGACCAGGAGTTAGAGGTTACAGTGAGCTATGATCATATCACTGCACTCCAGCCAGGGTGACAAAGCAAGATTCTATCTCTTTTAAAAAAAAAAAAGTAAGTATGTCTGGGTGTGGTGGCTCACGCCTGTAATCCCAGCACTTTGGGAAGCCGAGGTGGGTGGATCATTTGAGGTCAGGAGTTCTAGACCAGCCTGGCCAACATGGTGAAATCCTACCTCTAATAAACACACACACACACACACACACACACACACACACACACACACACACACACACACATTAGCCAGCAGGCACCTGTAATCCCAGCTACTCGGAAGGCTGAAGGAGGAGAATCGCTTGAACCTGGGAGGCCAGAAGTTACAGTGAGCCAAGATCACGCCACTGCACTCCAGCCTGGGTGACAAGAGTGAGACTCCATTTCAAAAAATTGTATGTGTATGTGTTACTTTTACAATTAAAAATAAAACATTAAAGAAAAATACTTTAGAAAAACATTTGATAACATAGAAAGGCATGAACAGTATATTGTTAAGTTTTTAAAATCATAAAACTCTTTATATATCACATTTTTATATGTAAATACAAACAGCAAATATCACATTTTTATAAAAATGATATAGATATGTGTATGTGTACGTAGGTGTATTGTATACATGAGATGCTGGGGGATTAGCATAATATACAAAAAAGAAAACAAAATGGTAATTTCTGCCAGGGTTACATCTGTTGGCCTTAACCACTTTTGCCTTCCTAGGTCCCTTCCTCCATAAAAAAATGTAGAAAATTATATTTGATGACTGCTTTGGTATAAAGATG